>NC_000004.12:110133502-110285017 GCF_000001405.40 Homo sapiens | reverse complement strand
TGTTTTGTTGCTATTGAGTTGTATGAATTTCTTATATATTTCGGATATTAGCCAGATTAATGGTTTGCAAATATTTTCTCTCAGTCTGTAGATTATCTTTTCATTTGGTTATTTTCTTTGCTGTGTAGAAGCTTTTCAGTTTGATGTAGCTCCATGTGTTTTTGTTGTTATTGTTGTTGTTGTTTGGGGGGTTTTGTTGAGAAGGAGTTTCACTCTTGTTGCCTAGGCTGGAGTGCAATGGCACAGTCTTGGCTCACTGCAACCTCTACCTCCAGGGTTCAAGCAATCCCCACACCTCTGCCTCTCGAGTAGCTGGGACTATAGGTGCCTACCACCACATCTGGTTAATTTTTTTTTTTTGTAGAGATAGCAGTCTCACTATGTTGCCCAGGCTGGTCTCAAACTCCTGGGCTCAAGTGATCCTCTCACCTCAGCCTTCCTAAGTCCCAGGATTACAGGCATGAGTCACTGCACCTGGCTAAATTTTTAATTACATGAAATTGTAATTATTAAAATTAATTAATTTTAATGTTTTAAATTTTAAATTAAATTTTTTTAATTTTAAAAAATTTGGGCTACCCTCTTTGGGTCCCCTCCCTTTGTATGGGAGCTCTGTTTCCACTCTATTAAATCTTGCAACTGCACTCACTTCTGGTCCGTGTTTGTTATGGCTCAAGCTGAGCTTTTGCTCGCCGTCCACCACTGCTGTTTGCCACCTTTGCAGACCCACCGCTGACTTCCATCCCTCCGAATCCGGCAGGGTGTCTGCTGTGCTCCTGAGCCAGCGAGGTGCCCATTGCCACTCCTGATCAGGCTAGAGGCTTGCCATTGTTGCTGCATGGCTAAGTGCCTGGGTTCGTCCTAATCGAGCTGAACACTAGTCACTGGGTTCCACGGTTCTCTTCCATGACCCACGGCTTCTAATAGAGCTATAACACTCACCACGTGGCCCCAGATTCTATTCCTTGGAATCGGTAAGGCCAAGAACCCCAGGTCAGAGAACACGAGGCTTGCCGCCACCTTGGAAGCGGCCTGCCACCATCTTGGGAGCTCTAGGAGCAAGGACCCCCCAGTAACATTTTGGTGACCACAAAGGGACCTCCAAAAGCGATGGGAAACGTTCCCCCCGAGGCAAAAATGCCCCTAAGATGTATTCTGGAGAATTGGGACCAATTTGACCCTCAGACGCTAAGAAAGAAATGACTTATATTCTTCTGCAGTACCGCCTGGCCACGATATCCTCTTCAAGGGGGAGAAACCTGGCCTCCTGAGGGAAGTATAAATTATAATACCATCTTACAGCTAGAACTCTTTTGTAGAAAAGAAGGCAAATGGAGTGAAGTGCCATATGTACAAAATTTCTTTTCATTAAGAGACAACTTGCAATTTTGTAAGAAGTGTGATTTATGCCCTACAGGAAGCCCTCAGAGCCTACCTCCCTACCCCAGCGTCTCTCCGACTCCTTCTCCAACTAATAAGGACCCCCCTTCAACCCAAATGGTCCAAAAAGAGATAGACAAAGGGGTAGACAATGAACCAAAGAGTGCCAAAATTCCCCGATTATGCCCCCTCCAAGCAGTGGGAGGAGGAGAATTTGGCCCAGCCAGAGTGCATGTACCTTTTTCTCTCTCAGACTTAAAGCAAATTAAAATAGACCTAGGTAAATTCTCAGATAACCCTGATGGCTATATTGATGTTTTACAAGGGTTAGGACAATCCTTTGATCCGACATGGAGAGATACAATGTTACTGCTAAATCAGACACTAACCCTGAATGAGAGAAGTGCCGCCATAACTGCAGCCCGAGAGTTTGGCGATCTCTGGTATCTCAGTCAGGTCAATGATAGGATGACAAGAGAGGAAAGAGAATAATTCCCCACAGGCCGGCAGGCAGTTCCCAATGTAGACCCTCACTGGGACACAGAATCAGAACATGGAGATTGGTGCCACAGACATTTGCTAACTTGTGTGCTAGAAGGACTAAGGAAAACTAGGAAGAAGCCTGTGAATTATTGAATGATGTCCACTACAACACAGGGAAAGGAAGAAAATCCTACTGCCTTTCTAGAGAGACTAAGGGAGGCATTGAGGAAGCATACCTCCCTGCCACCTGACTCTATTGAAGGCCAACTAATCTTAAAAGATAAGTTTATCACTCAGTCAGCTGCAGACATTAGAAAAAAACTTCAAAAGTCCGTCTTAGGCTCGGAACAAAACTTAGAAACCCTATTGAACTTGGCAACCTCGGTTTTTTATAATAGAGATCAGGAGGAGCAGGCAGAATGGGACAAACGGGATTAAAAAAAAAAGGCCACCGCTTTAGTCATGGCCCTCAGGCAAGCGGACTATGGAGGCTCTGGAAAAGGGAAAAGCTGAGAAAATTGAATGCCTAATAGGGTTTGCTTCCAGTGCGGTCTACAAGGACACTTTAAAAAAGATTGTCCAAGTAGAAGTAAGCCACCCCTTGTCCATGCCCCTTATGGCATGGGAATCACTGGAAGGCCCACTGCCCCAGGGGATGAAGGTCCTCTGAGTCAGAAGCCACTAACCAGATGATCCAGCAGCAGGACTGAGGGTGCCCGGGGCAAGCGCCAGCCCATGCCATCACCCTCACAGAGCCCCGGGTATGCTTGACCATTGAAGGCCAGGAGGTTAACTGTCTCTGGGACACTGGTGTAGCCTTCTCAGTCTTACTTTCCTGTCCCAGACAACTGTCCTCCAGATCTGTCACTATCCGAGGGGTCCTAGGACAGCCAGTCACTAGATACTTCTCCCAGCCACTAAGTTGTGAGTGGGGAGCTTTACTCTTTTCACATGCTTTTCTAATTATGCCTGAAAGCCCCACTCCCTTGTTAGGGAGACACATTCTAGCAAAAGCAGGGGCCATTATACAACTGAACATAGGAGAAGGAACACCTGTTTGTTGTCCCCTGCTTGAGGAAGGAATTAATCCTGAAGTCTGGGCAACAGAAGGACAATATGGACCAGCAAAGAATGCCCATCCTGTTCAAGTTAAACTAAAGGATTCCGCCTTCTTTCCCTACCGAAGGCAGTACCCCCTTAGACCGGAGGCCCAACAAGGACTCCAAAAGATTGTTAAGGACCTAAAAGCCTAAGGCCTAGTAAAACCATGCAATAGCCCCTGCAATACTCCAATTTTAGGAGTACAGAAACCCAACGGACAGTGGAGGTTAGTGCAAGATCTCAGGATTATCAATGAGGCCGTTGTCCCTCTATACCCAGCTGTACCTAACCCTTATACTCTGCTTTCTCAAATACCAGAGGAAGCAGAATGGTTTACAGTCCTGGATATTAAGGATGCCTTTTTCTGCATCCCTGTACATCCTGACTCTCAATTCTTGTTTGCCTTTGAAGATCCTTCGAATGCAACATCTCAACTCACCTGGACTTTTTTACCCCAAGGGTTCAGGGATAGCCCCCATCTATTTGGCCAGGCATTAGCCCAAGACTTGAGCCAATTCTCATACCTGGACACTCTTCTCCTTTGGTATGTGGATGATTTACTTTTAGCTTCCTGTTCAGAAACCTTGTGCCATCAAGCCACCCAAGCACTCTTAAATTTCCTCGCTACCTGTGGCTACAAGGTTTCCAAACCAAAGACCCAGCTCTGCTCACAGCAGTTTAAATACTTGGGGCTAAAATTATCCAAAGGCACCAGGGCCCTCAGTGAGGAACATATCAAGCCTATACTGGCTTATCCTCATCCCCAAATCCTAAAGCAACTAAGAGAGTTCCTTGGCATAACAGGTTTCTGCTGAATATGGATTCCCAGGTATGGCAAAATAGCCAGACCATTATATACGCTAATTAAGGAAACTCAGAAAGCCAATACCCATTTAGTAAGATGGATACCTGAAGCAGAAGCAGCTTTCCAGGCCCTAAAGAGGGCCCTAACCCAAGCCCCAGTGTTAAGCTTGCCAACAGGGCAAGACTTTACTTCGTATGTCACAGAAAAAACAGGAAATAGCTCTAGGAGTCCTTACACAAGTCTGAGGGATGAGCTTGCAACCCATGGCATACCTGAGTAAGGAAATTGATGTAGTGGCAAAGGGTTGGCCTCATTGTTTATGGGTAGTGGCGGCAGTAGCAGTCTTAGCATCTGAAGCAGTTAAAATGATACAGGGAAGAGATCTTACTGTGTGGACATCTCATGATGTGAATGGCATACTCACTGCTAAAGGAGACTTGTGGCTGTCAGACAACCATTTACTTAAATATCAGGCTGTATTACTTGAAGGGCCAGTGCAGCAACTGCGCAGTTGTGCAGCTCTTAACCCAGCCACATTTCTTCCAGACAATGAAGATAGAACATAACTGCCAACAAGTAATTTCTCAAACCTAGGCCGCTCGAGGGAACCTTTTAGAGGTTCCCTTAACTGATCCCGACCTCAACTTGTATACTGATGGAAGTTCCTTTGTAGAAAAAGGACTTTGAAAAGTGGGGTATGCAGTGCTCAGTGATAATGGAATACTTGAAAATAATCCCCTCACTCCAGGAACCAGCGCTCAGCTGGCAGAACTAATAGCCCTCACTCGGGCACTAGAATTAGGAGAAGGAAAAAGGGTAAATACACATACAGATTCTAAGTATGTTTACCTAGTCCTCCGTGCCCACGCAGCAATATGGAGAGAAAGGGAATGCTTAACTTCTGAGGGAACACCTATCAAACATCAGGAAGTTATTAGGAGATTATTATTGGCTATACAGAAACCTAAAGAGGTGGCAGTCTTACACTGCTGGGGTGGTCAGAAAGAAAAGGAAAGGGAAATAAAAGGGAACTGCCAAGCGGATATTGAAGCCAAAAGAGCCGCAAGGCAGGACCCTCCATTAGAAATGCTTATAGAAGGACCCCTAGTATGGGGTAATCCCCTCCGGGAAACCAAGCCCCAATACTTAGAAAAAGAAATAGAATGGGGAACCTCACGAGGACATAGTTTCCTCCCCTCAGGATGGCTAGCCACCGAAGAAGGAAAAATACTTTTGCCTGCAGCTAACCAATGGAAATTACTTAAAACCCTTCACCAAACCTTTCACTTAGACATTGATAGCACCCATCAGATGGCCAAATCATTATTTACTGGACCAGGCCTTTTCAAAACTATCAAGCAGCTAGTCAGGGCCTGTGAAGTGTGCCGAAGAAATAATCCCATGCCTTATCACCAAGCTCCTTCAGGAGAACAAAGAACAGGCCATTACCCAGGAGAAGACTGGCAACTAGATTTTACCCACATGCCCAAATCTCAGGGATTTCAGTATCTACTAGTTTGGGTAGATACTTTCACTGGTTGGGCAGAGACCTTCCCCTGTAAGACAGAAAAGTCCCAAGAGGTAATAAAGGCATTAGTTCATGAAATAATTCCCAGATTCAGACTTCCCTGAGGCTTACAGAGTGACAATGGCCCTGCTTTCAAGGCTACAGTAACCCAGGAGTATCCCAGGTGTTAGGTATACAATATCACTTACACTGCGCCTGGAGGCAGTCCTCAGGGAAGGCCGAGAAACTGAATGAAACACTCAAACGACATCTAAAAAAAGCTAACCCAGGAAAACCACCTCACATGGCCTGCTCTGTTGCCTATAGCCTTACTAAGAATCCAAAACTCTCCCCAAAAAGCAGGACTTAGCCCATACGAAATGCTATATGGATAGCCCTTCCTAACCAATGACCTTGTGCTTGACTGAGAGAGAGCCAACTTAGTTGCAGACATCACCTCCTTATCCAAATATCAACAAGTTCTTAAAACATTACAAGGAGCCTGTCCCCGAGAAGAGGGGAAGGAACTATTCCACCCTGGTGACATGGTATTAGTCAAGTCCCTTCCCTCTAATTCTCATTGCCTAGATATATCCTGGGAAGGACCCTACCCAGTCATTTTATCTACCCCAACCGCAGTAAAAGTGGCTGGAGTGGAGTCTTGGATACATCACACTCGAGTCAAACCCTGGATACTACCAAAGGAACCTGAAAATCCAGGAAACAACGCTAGCAATTCCTTTGAACCTCTAGAGGATCTGCGCCTGCTCTTCAAGCGACAACCGGGAGGAAAGTAACTAAAATCATAAATCCCATGGCCCTCCCTTATCATATTTTTCTCTTTACTGTTCTCTTACCCTCCTTCACTTGCAACTACTACTGCAACTGCAAAAAAAAAAAAATTTAAATTAAGAAGAATTAGTTTTAATTCTTATTAAATTTCTAAGAAAAACATATTCACAATTCCAGATTTCAATGTCCATCTCAGCAGTTTTACTTCCTACCACAGACTATCATTTTTCTTTCCCTTCATCAACATGAAGATCACTTTGTGATTCCTTCAATATGAGCTGGTATTATTTATTCCAACCCTGTGTAATGTCTTTTTTGCTCATTTTACTTTATAGACATTTCTCCCTCTAAAGTCTGAAATAATTTTCTATTAAATAAGTCGAATGACCTCTTTGTGGCTTTCTTACCACTCCACCTTTCTGCAGCATTCAGCTGAGTTAAACTCACTCCTTTGAAAATATCTCCCCAATCTATGACACTCTGATGTCCTCATTTTCTTCCTACCACTAGCCCCCAATCTTCAGACAACCCTCTAAAATTGGCATTTGATGAAGTTCCCCTAAGTCCTTTTAAAACCTCACTGTCCTTCTGGAGAAGGTTTCAGCTGCTGTTTATTTGCAGTGACTCACAACCTGTATCTCACTAACAAGTTCCAAATACAACTTTATTTTTCTTCACAAATTTGTGTGTCATTCCTGTGCAGGGGCCATGCCAATTTTCTTTGTATCGTTCCAACTTTAGTATATGCACTGCTGAAGTGAGCACCCAAATATAAATTTTTAACTCAACATTACCAATCCGTTCTTGCTTCTGAAAAACCAGCTCTCTTTCCTATATTCTCTGTCTAACTAAACTAATGGCAAAAGAATCCTTTCAGTGACTCAGGCTGGAGGCAGGTGGAACACCTGCCTTTCCCTTACTTCCCATATCTAATCAATAGTCTCACCCTGTCGATCCTATCTACCCAGTGATACTGGACTCCTTTGCATTCATTCCCAGGGCTCTTGTTCGGTTTCTCCTAAATGGGCTATCGCTTTTTAATCTTGGTCAATTTGATAGGATAAAAAATGGTATCTCTTCATTGTTTTAATTTTAACTTCCTGACTTGCTAGTTATATGTTGTAACCTATCTCATTTCTTCTCTGCCCAGTTTTACTCTAGTTTTTGCTGTGATATCCAGAATTTAAGTAAGTGTAATCTGACAGCACCTTGCCTTGCCTGCTTTGGAGCTTCCCTGGTGTCACGTAAAGAGATGCCTGTGGGAAGCTGCAGGCCACTGATACGTGTACAAAACTGGAATTGCAAGGTATTAATCCCCATAAGAAAACCTTTAAGAAGTGGGCACAAAGGGGGTTAAGTGTTTTCTTTTTTTAAGACAGGGTGTCACTCTGTTTCCCAGGCTGAAATGCAGTGGGGTGGTCATAGCTCACTGCAGCCTCAAACCGTTATCCTCAAGCAATCCTTCCACCTCAGCCTCCTGCGCATGTGGGACTATAGGCACGCATAGCCATGCCCAGCCAACTTGATAAGTGTTTTCATAACCTTCCCTCAACAAACAATATTAAGGTGCCTTTTCACCTATATTGTCTAAAATGGTAGCTACTTGACACAGATAGCCACTGAGCACTTGAAATGTAAATAGTCCAAGTTCACTATGTTATAAATATAACATAAACACCAGATTCCAAAGACAATATTAAACAAAAAAGATTTTCTCCTCATCACAGTAGAGCTTTCCTACCTGCCTATTTAGAAATGGCTACTTCTTCCTTAATGGGCCCAATACATGCTTAACAAATCTTAATTGTGTTGACTTACTCTTCAAGTTTGCAAAATTATTTCTGTGCATAGAGCTTATTAAAAGTATTCTCGGCCGGGCACAGTTGCTCATGCCTGTAATCCCAGCACTTTGGGAGGCCAAGCCGGGTGGATCCCTAAGATCAGGAGTTCAAGACCAGCCTGGCCAACATGGTGAAACCCCATCTCTACTAAAAATACAAAAAATTAGCCGGGCGTGGTGGTGGGTGCTGTAATCCCAACTACTCAGGAGGCTGAAGCAGGAAAATCGCTTAAACCTGGGAGGTGGAGTTTGTAGCGAGCCGAGATCACGCCATTGCACTCCAGCTTGGTCAACAAGAGCGAAACTCCATCTCAAAAAAAAAAAAAAAATGTTCTCCTAGCCTCAAAATGGATTATGCATACTTTTTCTGCATTCTCATAGGTATCAACCAATTATATAACTTTTCAGGCCATTATATTAAAATATTAGCTGAAAACAAATGCTTACTTCTCAACAATACGCTCTGCAGTCCCTTCTTGAGCTGCACGAATGGCTGTGAGTCATCAGCCTTGCCTGTATTCATGTTTTTTGCATCTCAGTTTTATTGAGCAGCTAGTAACTAGTGTAGGTGCATAAGGCATAGTAAAATCTGTAGAACATGTTTGTGTCCTAAAGAAGCTACAATCTAGGCAGACAGTGATGGGCTTAAAGAACTGGGCTAGCGGAGTATACGAAGACCTTGGTGAGGGCTTTGTTCGGTTATCTCTTCCTCTGAGAAAAGACCTGTACCTTGTATTTAAACAAACAAACAAACAAACAAAACCTGCTAACAGGTACATGATTCTTGCCCTCTTGACCCAGTAGTAGGCCTTAGAGGGGGAAAGTGCTCACGACCAGAAAATAATTCCCTGGGAGAGATGCTTGTGAGTATGCTATTGCTCTTATAGCTGCCACCTTCCATGCTGAAGAGCTGCAGATGTTTGCTGGCTTGTGTAGATCTCTTGATAATATGTAGTTTATATCTAGAAATGCTAATTGTCCTAAGGCACCCTGAATTCATCTCTTAAACACAGTGAGAGGATGAGTAATGAGTAAAGTACTTACCACAGTCCTGCATTCTAAAACTTTCCTGTACATTCAACCCTAAAACAATTCTGATTACAACTGCCAACACAAACATTTACACATAACTTCTAATTGTACTTCCACCAAGTTTACAAAGCATCTTAAATTCATCTTGTTATACCCTAAAGCTTTTCATGCTTTAGGATGTGAATGCTTATTTAGTTTTTATGCTGAAATCAGAAGAATAGTGTGAGAGAGAGATTGATGATATTGGGAGAGAAGGGGAATTGACCAATAGAGTAAATTGCTCAGAGGCCAACGGAGTAGGGTCAAGGAACAAGGGTAAGTGTCATAGAAAAAGCTGTGGAAGGGCTGGGCACGGTGGCTGACACCTGTAATCCCAGCACTTTGGGAAGCCGAGGCATGTGAATCACCTGAGGTCAGGAGTTCGAGACCAGCCTGGCCAACATGGTGAAACCCTGTCTCTACTAAAAACAGAAAAATTAGCTAGGCGTGTTGGTACACATTTGTAATCCCAGCTACTCGGGAGGCTGAGGCAGGAGAACCGCTTGAATCGGGGAGGTAGTGGTTGTAGTGAGCCAAGATCACACCACTGCACTCCAGCCTGGATGACAGAGCAAGACTCTGTCTCAAAAAAAAGAAAAACACAAGTTGTGGACGATGAGGATGTAGATCTCATCCTACACGCTATAGATGAGTGAGCGTCAATAAGCTTGTAAGCTCATGGGAAGATACGTGAGAAAAATCACACCGAATTTCTCCATTTTTCAGAACAACTACGTGGGCTCCTGAGAATAAGTATGTTAGGTTAATGCTTGAGGAAGATTTAAAATAGTTATTGAGGAGTAGAGCAGAGAAAGCCATATATTTACAGATGGTAAGGAAAGTTCGTAAGGTTAGATGAAGATAATGAGTTTGTAACAGTGCCAATCCGTGGCCAGGCGCGGTGGCTCACGCCTGTAATCCCAGCACTTTGGGAGGCCGAGGTGGGCGGATCACGATGTCAGGAGATCGAGAACATCTTGGCTAACATGGTGAAACTCCGTCTTTACTAAAAATACAAAAAAATTAGCCGGGCATGGTGGCAGGTGCCTGTAGTCCCAGCTACTGGGGAGGCTAAGGCAGGAGAATGGCGTGAACCCGGGAGGTGGAGCTTGCAGTGAGCAGAGATGGCGCCACTGCACTCCAGCCTGGGTGAGAGAGCGAGACTCCATCTCAAAAAAAAAAAATAGTGCCAATCCATGTGTTTCTTCAGCAGTACTCAGCAGTCCGGTTATAGGAGGTCAGGGGATTGAATAAATAGGATAAGAATACATATCAGCCATCCTTGAATGCCAGGAGCTTTATTTGTACAATTGACACAAAGGATCCACTGAAGTTCTATGACCAGTGAATGATATTGTAAGAGCAAAATCTTAAAATAGGGTATGGAGTGGGGAAAAACTACATTCACCCACACATTAGGTGACAGGGACAGGAATGAGGTCAGAAGCACTGTTAATGCAAGGAAGACAATAGGATCAAGCTCCATGCTAAGAAAATAAAATGACTTCATGACTCGTGCACTTACATGAAGCGCAGGTAATATTTTGAACCAGGTTAACTTGGATAATTTTATTTTATTTTTTTTAGAAACAGGGTCTCATTCTGTCACTCAGGTTGGAGTGCAGTGGTGCAATCATAGCTCACTGCAGCCTAGATCTCCTGGACTCAAGCTATCCTTCCACCTCAGCCTCCCAAGTAGGCTAACTGTTTTTTCTTTAAAAATGTTGCCCAGGCTGGTCTCGAACCCTTGGCCTCCTAAAGCGCTGGGGTTGCAGATGTGAGCCACTACACCCTGCCAAGAAATTTTCAAGTAATAAATAAATATATATATATTTGTATTTTTGTATTTTTTGTATTTTTGTATTTTGCATTTTGTAATTTTTGTATTTTTAGTAGAGACAGGGTTTCACCATGTTGGCTAGGCTGGTCTCGAACTCCTGATTTCAAGCGATCCATGAACCTCGTCCTCCCAAAGTGCTGGGATTACAGGTGTGAGCCATGGCACCCAGCCTACCCATTGCGCCCAGCCTACATATATATTTAATGGTATCAACTTTCAGTCGCATACGTGTGAAGAGACCACGAAAAAGGCTTTGTGTGAGCAACAAGTCTGTTTATTTCACCTGGGTGCAGGCAGCTGAGTCCGAAAAGAGAGTCTGTGAAGGGAGATAGGGGTGGGGCCGTTTTATAGGATTTGGGTAGGTAAAGGAAAATTACAGTCAAAGGGGGTTGTTCTCTGGCGGGCAGGGGTGGGGGTCACAAGGTGCTCAGTGGGGGAATTTTTGAGCCAGGATGAGCCAGGAGAAGGAATTTCACAAGGTGATGTCATCAGTTAAGGCAAGGACCGGCTATTTTAACTTCTGTGGTGGAATGTCATCAGTTAAGGCAGGAACAGGCCATTTAAATTTCACTTCTTTTGTGATTCTTCAGTTACTGGAGGCCATCTGAATGTATACATGCAGGTCACAGGGGATATGATGGCTTAGCTTGGGCTCAGAGGCCTGACACCAACCACACCACGTATCTGCAGGGATCACTGGGAAGAGTGTGCTCCTCTCTAAGTGGAATACAACAAAGATGACTGGAGAGAGAGGAGAGAGGGCAAGCTTATAATATAAAGATGATTCTCTACAAAAGATGGCTTTGCTTGTTATTAGCTTCTGTTGGGGTTGAATTGTGTCCCTCCAAATTTCATATGTTGAAGTCCTGACTCCCAGTTCCTTAGAATGTGACCTGATTTGAAAATAGAGTCATTGTAGATGGAATTGTTAAGATGAGGTCATACTGGAGTAGGGTGGGCCCCTGATCAAAAGCAACTGGTATCCTTGTAAAAAAGAAATCTGGACACAGACATAAACACAGGGAAAAACCATGTGCAGGTGAAGGCAGAGATCAGGGTGATGCCGCAGAGGTTGAGGAATGTGAGAGACGCCAGCAAGCACGAGATGCCAGCAGAGAGGGATGGAACAGGTTACTCCCTCACAGCTCTCGGAAGAAACCGATCTTGCCCACACCTTGATCTCAGACTTCCAGCCTCCACAACTGTGAGACAACGGATTTCTGTCATTTAAGCCACCCAGTTTATATTTTGTTATAGCAACCCTAGCAAATTAATACAGTTTCCATCTTGAAGAAAAATCCAAGATTTTTACATTGTTGTGGAATAAACAAAACTATAACTTACATTCCACAATTGCATATAGCATCTGCTGTCAGGTTTCGTGTTCTCATGTTCTATCTAATTTTGTAAAGTTACAAAATTTTCCCCCAGGGCTGAGGGCATGCAGATGGAATATTGCAGAGGGACATGTAACCCCCTAGTTCCCCTCCTATCCCCAGAGCTCTGCTTTTGGCTTCCTCAGAGCCTAAGAGCCTCTTGTGACACAGGTACTCCTCAGGTACAGCCACAGGTGTAAGCAACCGGACAGAGTTAGGCTGGCACCACTACCAATGCCCTCTACCTAAAAAGGTACAACAGGAACCACACCTCCCTCTCCTACCCCATTCTGTGCTGTGAGGATTACCCTTCATCATGGTCCAAACTGAGGGCCTCACCCGTGTGACATTCAAATGTCACAGGGTCATTCTGACCGCTCTTATAGCTTGTCAAACCATTTACAATCTGTTCTTTGTGGTGTGGTAACTGTCAATCAGTGGAAGTTTTTCCAGGCCTTTTATGTAGCCATATGTGATGGTTAATTTGTGTGTCTTGACCGGGTCAGAGTCCCCAGACATTTGGTCAAACATTTTTCTCAGAGTGTCTGTGTGGGTGTTTCTGGCTGAGATTAACATGTGAATCAGGAAACTGAGGGAAGCAGATGGCCCTCACTCATGTGGGTGAGTCTCATCCAGTCAGTTGAAGACTGGAACTCAACAAAAGGGCTAAGAGGCAACTCCTGCTGCCTGACTGCCTTAGCCCGAAACTGATTTTTTCTTTCCTTCAGACTCAAACTGAAACGCAGCTCTTCTTGGGTCTCAAGCCGGCTGGAGATCAGACTGGAACTACACCCTTGCCTCTCCTGGGTCTCCAGCTTCCTGACTGTAGATCATGGGACTGGTCAGCCTCCATAATCACCGGGAGCCTATTCCTTATATAAAATCTCTTTATATTCTATACAAGGAGATCTTGTATATTCTATACAAGATATATATACACACACACACATATATATAAAAAATATCTTTATATTCTATACAAGGAGATACATATATATCTTGTATAGAATATATATATATCCTTGTATAGAATATATAGATATAGATATAGGTATAGATATAGACAGATATAAATCTTGTTGGTTCGTTTCTCCACAGGACCCTAATACACTATATATTTAATCTAACCAGTTTGGTGGATTAAAGCAGTGGTCTGCAACCTTTTTGGCACCAGGGACCGGTTTCATGGAAGACAATTTTTCCACGGGCCAGGGGTAGAGGGGATGGCTTTGGAATGAAACTGTACTATCTCAGATCATCAGGCATTAGTTAGATTCTCATAAGGAGCACGCAACTTAGATCCCTCGCATGTTCACAATAGGGTCTAGGCTCCTGTGAGAATCTAACACTGCCACTGATCTGAGAGGAGGTGGAGCTCAGGGTTAATGCTCCCTCGCCCTCTGCTCAGCCCCTGCTGTGCGGCCGGTTCCTAACAGGCCATGTACTGGTACTAGTCCACTGCCCAGAGGTTGGGGACCCCTGGATTGAAGTACAGTGCAATCAGTAATTGCTTGGGCTTTACAGTCAAGGAAGCCAGGGGCTAAACTGGTATAACCTCAAGTGAAAAAAAAATATATAAGCGGTCCTTATTACATAAAGTTATGAAATTTAATGAGTAAAATAAATAAATATAATTACATTAAAAATTAAAATAAAGAAATCAATAAGAACTCAAAATTGTTAGACTAATAACAACAATACTAATGCAGGGGGGATCCTCCAGTTCTGCCACCTACTTTTGTGGTGACCACCAGAGCACTGAAGCTTCCCCTTGGTGTACTGGCTACATCAACCTGACATCTGTGCCCATTACATACACCCATGTGAATTTAAGCAATTCTTGCCTGAGTGAGTCACCTCTGTGAGACTTTTGGGCAAGATCCATCACCACAGTGGCTGGGGGAGACAGCACAACTCCAAGAATATCTATTTCAAAAGCCTCTCCAAATTTAAATATACAACTTTCTTTTTATCTATACTATCTCAGACGTACTCTTCTAATCACTAATCAGCCTGAAAATATAAACATTTACTGACAGGAAAGAAAACCTTCCTCAAAAACTAAAACAACTTTAGGAAGAAGTGCAAATTGAGGATGGCCAACACTGACTGAGAGCATCTAAGGAAAGAAAAACTGAATTTTTAAAATATGACTGTTCGGGGCTGGGTGCAGTGGCTCAAGCCTGTAACCCCAGAACTTTGGGAGGCCAGGGTGGGTTGATTGCTTGAGCCCAGGAGTTCGAGACCAGCCTGGGCAACATAGTGAGCAACATCTCTTAAAAAAAAAAAAAATTAAAATATGACCATTCAGAAAACTTTTCCTGAATAGCACCCGCATAAGAACTTCTGAAAATTTTAGGAAGAGCTAGAATGGGTTTCTAATATTTCTTGACATGTGTGTTTTCGAAGATTTTAACATTAATGGTAAAGCTTATTTTACATTATTTAACACTAATTAACATTTAACATTAATTAATGTAAAATAAGCTTTTAATATTTTAATTATTTAACATTAATGTAAAAGCTTATGTGTAATTAATGATTGTTACAGGTGGGGCACAGTGGCTCACGCCTGTAATCCCAGCACTTTGGGAGGCCAAGGCAGGCGGATCACCTGAGGTCAGGAGTTTGAGACCAGCCTGGCCAACATGGTGAAACCGTGTCTCTACTAAAAATACAAAAATTAGCTGGGCATCGTGGTGGGCACCTGTAATCTCATCTACTCAGGAGGCTGAGGCAGGTGAATTGCTTGAACCCAGGAGGCAGAGGTTGCAGTGAGCCGAGATTGCACCAGGGCACTCCAGCCTGGACAACAGAATGAGACTCTGTCTCCAAAAAAAAAAAAAAAAAAAAGATTGTTGCAAATATTTTTAAATTCCAGCTGTAAATTTTAGGAGTCTTGTTTTTTTTTAAGTTAGTCTTTTTTTTTTTTTTTGAGACGGAGTCTTGCTCTTTCGCCCAGGCTGGAGTGCAGTGGCACAACCTCGGGCTCACTGCAAGCTCTGCTTCCTGGGTTCACACCTTTCTCCTGCCTCAGCCTCCCGAGTAGCTGGGACTACAGGCGCCTACCACCACGTCTGGCTGATTTTTTTGTATTTTTAGTAGAGACGGGGTTTCACTGTGTTAGCCAGGATGGTCTTGATCTCCTGATCTCGTGATCCGCCCACCTCGGCCTCCGAAAATGCTGGAATTACAGGGGTGAGTCACCGTGCCCGGCCTAAGTTAGTCTTAAAGTGCCTGATTTTTGTTCCTCTTGTGGACATTCTCTTTAAGCCCTGTCTACTGTCTTTGAATTTCCTGGATATACTTAATATGTACAGAGTAAGCAGATAAGGTTGGCTCTTCCCCCAGTGCCAGTCAGTGAGCGTTCCCTGAGTGCAGTCCCTTCCATGAGCCTACACCAGTGCTGAGCATGGCTCTAAAAATCAGCCAAACTGGCCGGGCGCGTTGGCTCACGTCTGTAATCCCAGAACTTTGGGAGGCCGAGGCAGACAGATCACCTGAGGTCAGGAGTTTGAGACCAGCCTGTCCACATGGTGAAACCCCATCTCTACTAAAAATACAAAAATTAGCCAGGCGTGGTGGTGGGTTCCTGTAATCCCAGCTACTGGGGAGGCTGAGGCAGGAGAATCACTTGAACCCAGGAGCGGAAGTTGCAGCGAGCAGAGATCACGCCATTGCACTCCAGTCTGGGTGACAAGAGCAAAAACTCCATCCCCCCACACCCCACCCCACCCACCAAAAAAAAAACACAGCCAGACTTGTGAATAACCCAGTGTACTTTTGTGAGTGCATAGGACAGTGGGCAGTGGGGCCCAAAGCCTCCATTACAGGGCTCTATGGAGAACTGGAGGCACATAAGTAGTCCCAGTGAGACCCACAGGTGGCTGAATGGGGCGGGTATAAAGAAATTTTCCACATTCTCTTGGGAAAGCAAGATTGGTCTTATTTCTTTTCCTCATTCTGTCTCTAAAGGGAAAGGCATTGAGGAGAGTGACAGTAGATACGGCTATTTCAATATATATCTATGTATCTAGAGAGATGATAGATGATAGATAGACAGATAGATTACATACGTATATATCCAGCATGTTTTTTTTTAATCACCCAAAGTTCAGAGTTTACATTAGGTTTCACTCCTGGTGTTATGCATCCTATGAGTTTTGACAAAGGCAGAATGACATGTATCCACTATTATAATATACAGAATAGTTTTACTGCCCTAAAAATCTTCTGTGCTCTGCCTATTAGTCATCACATCCTTCCCCCAACCCCTGACAGCCATTGATCTTTTCATTTTCACCACAGTTTTGTTTTTGGTTTGGTTTTTTTTTTTTTTTTTTTTTTTAGGCAGAGTCTCACTCCTTCACTCAGGCTGGGGTGCAGCAGCTTGATCCTTCATCTTGGCTCACTGCAACCTCCTCCTCCCAAGCTCAAGCGATTCCTGTGCCTCAGCCTCCTGAGTAGCTGGGATTACAGGCATGCACCACCATGCCCAGCTAATTTTTATATTTTTAGTAGAGATGGGGTTTCACCATGTTGGCCAGGCTGGTCTTGAATTCTTGACCTCAAGTGATCTGCCTGCCTCGGGTTCCTAAAGTCCTGGGATTACAGGCATGAGGCACCACGGCCAGCTGACTTTCACCAGTTTACCTTTACCAGAATGTCACATAGCTGAAATCATGTAGTAGGTACCCTTTTCAGATTGTCTTCTTTCATTTAGTAATATGTATTTATATGTGTTTTTTTTTTCTATTTTAAAATAGAGACGTAGTCTCACTATATTGTCCAGGCTGGTCTCAAACAACTGGGCTTAAGTGATCCTCCTGCCTTGGCCTCCCAAAGTGATAGGGTTACAGGTGTGAGCCTAGCCAGTAACATGAATTTAAAGTTCCTCTCTGCCTTTTCATGCCTGAATAGCTCATTTCTTTTTAGTGCTCAATAATATTTCATTGTCTGGATATACCACAGTTTACACATTCATCCACTTAAGGACATTGTGGTTGCTTTCAAGTTTGGGTAATTATGAATAAAGCTGCTATAAATATCCATTTGCAGATTTTTGTGGAGACATAAGTTCTCAACTCCTTTGGGTAAATATCAAGGAGGGAGATTGCTGGATTATACGGTAAGGGTATGTTTCGTTTTGTAAGGAACTGACAAAATGTCTTTCCAAAGTGGCTGTACCACTTTGCATTCCCACTGTCAATGAGAGTTCCTGTTTACATTCTCACCAGCAATGGATATTGTCAGTGTTTCGAATTTTTGCCATTCTAAAAGATGTGCAGTGGTCTGGCATGTATTTTATTTTATTTTATTTTGAGATGGAGTCTCGCTCTGTCACCCAGACTGGAGAGCAATGGCACGATCTTGGCTCACTGCTGCCTCCACTTCCTGGGTTCAAGCAATTCTCCTGCCTCAGTCCCCCGAGTAGTTCGGACTATAGGTGTGCACCTTGCTAATTTTTTTTTTTTTTGAGACGGAGTCCCGCTCTGTCGCCCAGGCTGGAGTGCAGTGGCGTGATCTTGGCTCGCTGCAACCTCCACCTCCTGGGTTCAAGTGATTCTCCTGCCTCAGCCTCCTGAGCAGCTGGGATTATAGGCATGCACCACCATGCTCAGCTAATTTTTGTATTTTTAGTAGAGACGGGGTTTCACCATGTTGGCCAGGATAGTCTTGATCTCCTGATCTCGTGATCTGCCCGCCTTGGCCTCCCAAAGTGCTGGGATTACAGGCATGCACCACCACGCCCAGCTAATTTTTGTATTTTTAGTAGATACAGGGTTTCACCATGTTGGCCAGGATGGTCTCGATCTCCTGACCTCGTGATCTGCCCACCTCAGCCTCCCAAAGTGCTGGGATTACAGGCATGAGCCACCACATCTGGCCTTGGCATGTATTTCAAATAAAATGTATTAGTCCCTGCCTATTAAAGAATCTTATATAAATATCGATAAAAAATAAAAGAAAGAGAAAAGAAAAATCACTCATAATCCTATCACCTAAAGATAATTACTTTAATATTTGGGTATATATCCTTCTAATCATTTTTCTGTGTATGTATGAATGGATTTTTTTTCTTTAACCCTTCTCAAGATTCATATAGATCAATTTATCTAGGAGCAAATTCAATGTGCCCATTTTTAATAGGGGTATATACTCTATAACTAATTTAATAGTCTGACCTGTGGTCTGATTTGGGGAAATCAAGCCAAATAGTACCTGATCCTTTTCAAAGACTAGCTACCCTAACTTTAAAAAAAAAAAAAAAAAGTCAGGAGTTCTTTATTTTGATATCTGATGCATTCTGAAAGCAGCTCAATTAATTTCATGGCTCTCATCCCTTTATCTGGAATATCATGTATCATACCAGGTGTGATTTCAGCCTTATGAAATTTCAATCCTATGAAACCCCTAAAGATTTGCAATTTTGATGTCCTAAAGACTGACCTTTGATTTGCAACTTGTACTTTGCCACATCTGGCAATGACAACACCAAATGCTGGTGACAGTGTAAAGCAACAGGAGCTCTCATTCATTGACAGTAGGAATACAAAGTGGTTCAGCCACTTTGGAAAGACAATTTGTCGGTTTCTTACAAAATTAAACATGTCTTTACCATATGATCCAGCAATCTCACTGCTTGGTATTCACCCAAAAGAGTTGAAAACTTATGTCTCCACAAAAACCTGCACACAGATATTTTTAGCAACTTTATTCATAATTACCAAAACTTGGAAGCAACCACAATGTCCTTCAGTAGGTGAATGAATAAACTGGTACATCCAGGCAATGAACTATTATTTAGCACTAAAAGGAAATGACCTGGCTGGGCACAGTGGCTCACACCTGTAATCTCAGCACTTTGGGAGGCCAAGGCAGGCAGATCACCTGAGGTCACGAGTTCAAGACAAGCCTGGCAAGATAGCAAAACCCCATCTCTACAAAAATACAAAAAAAAAAAAAAACTAACTTGGCATGGTGGTATGCACTGTAATCCCAGCTACTAGGGAGGCTGAGGCAGGAGAATCACTTGAACCTGGGAGATGGAGGTTGCAGTGAGCTGAGATTGCACCACTGTACTCCAGCCTGGGCAATAGAGTGAGACTCCATCTAAAAAAAAATTAAAAAAAAAAAGCTATCAAGCCATAAAAAGGCATGGAGGAGCTTTATATACATATTACTAAATGAAAGAGTAACTTCCCTGTCTGAGGTAAGTGAAATATATTTGTATGCTTCTTTAGTTGGTCAAAATGAAACATTTATTTATGTAGTAAAGAGTTAAATAAAGGGGGAAGTCCTAGCTAGAGCAATCAGACAAGAGAAAGAAACAAAGGACATCCAAATTGGAAAGGACGAAGTCGAATTATCCTTATTTGCAGATGATATGATTTTATATTTGGAAAAACCTAAAGACTCCATAAAAAAAACTTAGAACTGAAAAACAAATTCAGTAAAATTGCAGGATACAAATCCACATATAAAAATCAGTTTCTTTTTTATATGCCAACAGTGAACAATCTAAAAAAGAAATCAAGAATGTAATCCTGAGCTGACAGCTCCCCAGAACGGAAGAGGCAGTGTGCAGGTTGCGCAGTGTGTCTCTAGGCCTGCTCGGCTGGTGGCGATGGCAGGACTTCCACATGAGTTCCACATCTCAGCCTCTCACCCAGCTTCAGCAGTCTCAGCTCCACCAGCTGGAGAATAAATGGGATTTGCACGAACTCCCCCCTGAACTGAAACACAGACTGTGGTGTTCATATCCTTTTCTTCTGATTTTTATTAACCATTCCTCAGAAAATTTAATGTTGTCAGAAGACCAGGAAGCTCAAGAGGATGAATTGTTGGTCCTGGAGAGTATTTATAATGGAGATGAATTTAGAAAAGCAGAGTCTGTCCGAGGTAGAGAAACCAGGATCTATTTGGATTTGCCACAGACCTTCAAGATATTTGTGAGCAGTTAGGTAATAATATTTTCTTAAACAGATTTTTCTAAATAAAGATTATTCTTTATTTGGAAAAAAAAGTAATCCCAATTACAATAGCTACAAATAAAATAAAATACCTAGGAAATAACCAAAGAAGCAAAAGATTGCTACAATGGAAACTATAAAACATCGATGAAAGAAATCGAAGAGGACACAAAAAAGGAAAGATATTCCATGTTCACTGACTAAAAGAATCAATATTATTGAAAATGTCCATACCACCAAAAGCAATCTACAGGTTCAATGCAGTCCCTATAGAAATATCAATGACATTCTTCAGAAATATAAAAAATAATTCTAAAATTTATATGGAACCACAAAATACCCAGAATAGCCAAGGCCATCTTGAGCAAAAAAATAAAACTGGAAGAATCTTATTACCTGACTTTAAATTTTACTACAGAGCTATAGTAACCAAAACAGCATGGTACCGGCATAAAAACAGACACATAGACCAATGGGACAGAATAGAGAAGCCAGAAGTAAATTCATGCATCTGCAGTGAACTCATTTTTGACAAAAATATCAAGATCAACCATGGGGGAAAAGACAGTCTCTTCAATAAATGGTGCTGGGAAAACTGGATATCCATATCCAGAAGAATGAAACTACACCCCATCTCTGACCATATACAAAAATCAAATCAAAATAAACTAAAATCTTAAATCTAAGGCCTCAAACTATGAACCTACTAAATGAAAACACGGGGAAAACTTTCCAAGATATTGATCTGGGCCAATATTGAAAAGATTTTTCAATACCCAACAAGCACAGGCAATCAAAGCAAAAATAGGCAAATGGAATCACATCAAGATAAAAAGCTTCTGCACAGCAAAGAAAACAACACAGTGAAGCAATGACCCAGAGAATAGAAAAAAATTATTTGCAAGCTATCCATCTGACAAAGGATTAGTAACCAGAATACATAAGGATCTTAAACAACTCAATAGGAAAGTATTTAATGATCTGATTAAAAAATGGGTGAAAGATTTGAATAGACATTTCTCAAAAGGAGACTTACAAATGGCAAACAGGCATATGAAAAGGTGCTCAACATCAATGGTCACCAGAGAAATGCAAAACAAAACTACAATGACATATCATTTCACCCCAGTAAAAATGGCTTTTAACCAGAAGACAGGCAATAACAAATGCTGGTGAGGATGTGGAGAAAAGGGAGCCCTCGTACACTGTTGGTAGGAATGTAATATAGTCACTGTGGACAACAGTTTGAAGGTTCCAAAAGAAATCTAAAAATAGAACTACCATACAATCCATCAATCTTACTGCTAGGTATATGCCCAAAAGAAAGCAAATCAATATATAAAAGAGATATCAGCACTCCCATGTATATTGCAGCACTATTCACAATAGCCAAGATTTGGAAGCAACCTAAGTGTCCATCGCAGATGAACAGATAAAGAAAGTGTGGTACATATATACAATGGAGTACTACTCAACCATAAAAAAAGAATGAGGTTGGCTGGGCGCAGTAGCTCACACCTTTTTTTTTTTTTTTTTTTCTTGAGACAGAGTTTCACTCTTATGGTCCAGGCTGGAGTGCAATGGCACAATCTCAGCTCACTGCAACTTCCGCCTCCCAGGTTCAAGTGATTCTCCTGCCTCAGCCTCCCCAGTAGCTGGGATTACAGGCACACACCACCACCCCCAGCTAATTTTTGTATTTTTAGTAGAGATGGGGTTTCGCCATGTTGGTCAGGCTGGTCTCAAACTCCTGACCTCAGGTGATCCATCCAACCTTGGCCTCCCAAAGTGCTGGGATTACAGGCATGAGCCACTGCACCCAGCCGGCTCACACCATTAATCCCAGCACTTTGGGAGGCCGAGGCAGGCAGATCACTTGAAGTCAGGAGTTCAAGACCAACCCGGCCAACATGGCGAAACCCGTTTTCTACTAAAACTAAAAAAATTAGCTAGGCATGGTGGCACGTGCCTGTAGTCCCAGCTACTCGGGAGGCCAAGGCACAAGAATCACTTAAACCTGGGAGGTAGAGGTTGCAGTGAGCCGAGATTGTGCCACTGCACTCCATCCTGGGTGACACAGCAAGAATCTGTTTCACACACACACATGCGTGCGCGCACACACACACACACACACACACACACACACACGAGGAGGCCAGGCAAGGTGGCTCGTGCCTGTAGTCCCAGAACTTTGGAAGGTAGAAGTGGGCAGATCGCTTGAGCCAAGGAGTACAAGACCACCCTAGACAACATAGTGAGGCCTCATCTCTATTTCAATTTTATTTCCAAAATGTTATTTAGGCCGGACATGGTGGCTGGCTCACACCTGTAATCCCAGCACTTTGGGAGGCCGAAGTGGGTGGATCATCTGAGGTTGGGAGTTCAAGACCAGCCTGACCAACATGGAGAAACCCCATCTCTACTAAAAATACAAAATTAGCCGGGCATGGTGGTGCATGCCTGTAATCCCAGCTATTCGGGAGGCTGAGGCAGGAGAATCGCTTGAATCTGGGAGGTGGAGGTCATGGTGAGCCGAGATCACGCCATTGCACTCCAGCCTGGACAACAAGAGCGAAACTCTGTCTCAAAAAAAAGTGTAATATTTTCTTAAAAATGAGATCCTGTCATTTGTAACAACATGGATGGAACTGGAGGACATTATGTTAAATGAAATAATCCAGACACAGAGAGACAAACTTCTCATATTCTCACTTATTTGTGGGAGCTAAAAATTAAAACAACTGAACAGAACAATGATTACCGGGGCTGGGAAGGGTGGTGGGTGGCAAGGGGTATGTTAATGGGCACCAAAAAAATTATTAGTTAGAATGAAGAGCTAGTTCTTTTTTTTTTTTTTTTAAGATGGAGTCTCACTCTTGTCTCCCAGGCTGGAGTGCAGTGGCGCAATCCTGGCTCACTGCAACCTCCACCTCCCAGTTTCGTGATTCTCCTACCTCAGCCTCCTGAGTAGCTGGGATTACAGGTTACCACCACCACCACGCCCGCCACCACGTCCAGATAATTTTTGTGCTTTTAGTGGAGACAGGGTTTCACAATGTTGGCCAGGCTGGTCTTGAACTTTTGACCTCAGGTGATCCACCCACCTTGGCCTCCCAAAGTGCCGGGATTATAGGTGTGACCCACCGCACTCAACCGAAGATCTAGTTCTTGATAGTACAACAGGTTGACTACAGTCAATAATAATTCATTGTGCATTGAAAAATAACTACAAGAGTATAATTGGATTGTTTGTAACACAAAGAAAGGATAAATGCTTGAAGTGATGCATACCCTGTTTACCCTGATGTGATTATTATGCATTGCATGCCTGCATCAAAATGTCTCACATACCCCATGAATATATACACCTACTATGTACCCACAAAAATAAAAAAGAATTAGGTAAAGAGAGTGATGTGGATTGAGAAGAGAGAAAGGAATCGTAGCCCAGGGCTGTGGAACTATAGATTCGAGTGTCCAGTCTCAGAAGTACCTCCACACCAGCTGGCAATTCTTTTGTGTTCCCAGCAAGCTCTCACTCCTCTGATCATAGTGACTACTGTGTTTCAGACTTACTCTCTACTCTCTTCTCCTCCTTCCTTCCCATTCTCAGCCAACAATCTCACTCCTATTTCAAGAGAAAATGAAACCTCCAAACAAAATGTGCTCAGCCTCTGCCACTGACCACTCTCCCCGTATAGGCCACTCATCCTCTCGTCCTGTCTTTCAGTGGGAACCTGAGGTGGCCTTCCTCATCCCACGTCTCATTCCTCTGCTGCATTTGGTGCCCTGCCCCTCCTGCCTCCTTAGAGTTTCATTCCTCTGAACTTCCCTTCTTTTTTGCTCACCTCTGAGTACTTTTTCTCTGGCTCCTTTTCTGTCAGCATTTAAACATGATTTCCCACTCCATATAAAATCCACCCATTCTCAATCCTTCAACCCGGAAAGTGTAGGTCTATCTTTCTCTTCAGAGACAAATGTTCTACACAGTTACTTCATTTATTCAGCAAATTTTAATATTTGTGTCTGCAAGTGTCAACTGCATGCCAGGTTTTGTTTTAAGCACTAGGGATTCAACAAAGAACACGGTAGACAAAACTCCCTCCCCCCATAGAACATCTATTCTACTGACAAGCTGTAACCCTTTTCTCATTTCCAATTCATGTCACTAATCAACATCATCTGGCTTCTACCTCTACTGTCTTTTGAAAACTGCTTTTGCCAAGATCACTAATGATCTCCTTGTAAATCACACGGAAATATTTCAGTTATCATGTGATTGGACCCAGGCTTTGCGGCACTGACATGATTGACTACCCCTCCGTGAAACCTTGGGCCCTTCAGGATGCTGTCTATCCCCGATTACACATTTTTAATGGCTGAACATCCCTTTTAGGATAAGGTTTTAAATGTCCAACTGTTGATAAGGCCCCTACTGATGGATTTTCTGCTTTCCTCTCTAGCTTCAACTCTCACCTTCTTAGCCATAGGCTTGGTCTGCCATTCTTGGTTTCAACCATCCAGATTCCTCTGAGATTCCCTGGAAGTGCAAGGCATCCCTCCTCTTCTTCTGGCTCATACCGACTTACCCTACAGGCCTCAGCTTTGGCATCCTTTACTCTGGGAGCCCTGAGCTCCAACCTTGAACTTGCAGCCATTCTAATGTGCTTCTATAAGAATCTCTAATTACACATCTGGCAGTACTTATCACAGTATGTTATCCTCAGCAGTTTACCTGTCTGTGTCCCGCCAGAATATGTAAGACCCAAAAGAGTTCCTTCTTTCTTTCTTTCTTTTTCTTTCTTTCCTTCCTTCCTCCCTCCCTCCCTCCCTTCCTTCCTTCCTTCCTTTCTTTCTTTCCTTCTTTTTCTTTCTTCAGAATAGATTCTTCTGTTAAGAAACTATTTCTGCCAGGCGCGGTGGCTCACGCCTATAATCCCAGCACTTTGGGAGGCCGAGGCAGGTGGATCATGAGGTCAGGAGTTCGAGACCAGCCTGACCAATATGATGAAGCCCTGTCTGTACTAAAAATACAAAAAATAGCCCGGTGTGGTGGTGTGTGCCTGTAATCCCAGCTACTCAGGAGGCTGAGGCAGGAGAATTGCTTGGAGCCAGGAGATGGAGGTTGCAGTGAGCTGAGATCACACCATTGCACTCCAGCCTGGGCAACAGAGCAAGAGCGAGACTCTGTCTCAAAAAAAAAAAAGAAAAAAGAAAAAAAAAGAAACTATTTCTTATTCAAGACCTATTTCTAGCATAGTGCCTGGCACAGAGTAGTTCCTTAATAATTATTAATTGAATTAAGATCATATGTATTAGTCAGATGGGTGGCTCATGCCTATAATCTCAGTGCTTTGGGATACCGAGGTGGGAAGATCACTTGAGGCCAAGAACTGGAGACCAGCTGGGCAATAATACAGTGAGACCCTGTTGCTAGAAACCATTTTTTTTAGCTAGCCTGATGTGGTGGTGTGCGTCTGTGGTCCAAGCTACTCAGGAGGCTGAGGTGGGAGGATCACTTAAGCCCAAGAGTTTGAGGTTGGAATGAGCTGTGATCATGTCTCTGTACTCCAGCCTGAGAGACAGAATGAGACCCTATTTCAAAAAAAAAATTGTAATTTAAAAAAGATTATATTTATTGAAGACCAACTTTATGCCAGGCACTGTGCTGCATGCTTTACAAATAGTATGCCACATAAGTCTCATAAAAACACTTTAATAATTTTTATGATCTGGAAACTGGGCCACCAAAAGGTAAAATAACCTGCTCCCTACTATTTAGATCTGTGGTTGCCCACAGCCCAGTAACGAACAACTTCGACAAAAGGAAGAACCAACTGAAAGTCAGGATAAAATACCTAGTCAAGGCCAGGCACGGTGGCTCATGCCTGTAATCCTAGTGCTTTGGGAGGCCAAAGTGGGTGGATCACTTGAGGCCAGGAGTTCAAGACCAGCCTGGCCAACGTGGCAAAACCCGGTCTCTACTAAAAATACAAAAATTAGCTGGGCATGGTGGCACACGCCTGTAATTTCAGCTACTTGGGAGGCTGAGGCAGGAGAATCGCTTTAACCCAGGAGGCAGAGGTTGCAATGATCTAAGATAGCGCCACTGCACTCCAGCCTGGGCAACAGAGTGAGACTCGGTCTCAAAAAAAAAAAAGGGAGAGAAGACAAAGGAGCCCCCTGCAGTTCAAGGATGTGACCTGGAATCTGATCAACAGGACTGAGCTGTATGTATTGTATATGTATACATATGTATGCACTGTGTGTGTGTGCGTGTGCGTGTGCGTGTGTGTGTATCTGGCTGAGGAGAAACTGGTTCTCTCTGGGCTAAACATTTCTTTTTTTTTTTTTTCCTTTTGAGACAGGGTCTTGCTCCAGGTTGGAGTGCAGTGGCAAGATCAGGGGTCACTGTAGCTTTGAACTACTGGGCTCAAGCAATCCTCCTGCCTCAGCTACCTGAGTAGCTAGGACTACAGACAGGCACCATCATGCCCCAGCTATATTTTTAATTTTTTTTAGAGATGGGGTCTTGCTGTGCTGCCCAGGCTGGTCTTGAACTCTTGGCCTCAAGCAATTTTCCAACCTAGGCCTCTCAAAGTTTTGGGATTACAGGCATCAACCACTGCACCTGACCCTGACTAGCCAATATTTAAGACATAGCAAAGAAAGCACATCTTTGTTATACAAACCAACCAATCCGGAGCCCTACCTCCTCCATCTGGCCCTTACATTCCAGGGGGTGGTATAATATTCCTTTGCCTTAATCATCTCAGGCCCAGGTGCCAGGCAAACTAGAGACCACCCCTATAGCCTAGAGCCTGTGGAAATTATTCAAAGTAGCCAGTTGGACACTGTTTACCCTATCCACCTTGACTTTCTTTTGGGGATGCCCTGATGAAAACTCTGGCCTAAACCCTCTACCCACTCCTGTCTTTTACCTCCTGCCCATTTTGGTGGATTTTCCATGTGGCCCTGGATGGAGTGGCATGCCTTCTGTCTGTAGAGCCTGTGAATATAATAAACTTCATTTTCCTGAGCCTCTCCTGTGTGTCCTCTTGTGGCCACACTGACTGACCATCTTATAAAAGAATACAATCACTGGGCACAGTGGTTCATGCCTGTAATCCCACACTTTTGGAGGCCGAGGCGGGTGGATCACCTGAGGTCAGGAGTTCGAGACCAGCCTGACCAACAAGGTGAAACCCCGTCTCTACTAAAAATACAAAACTTAGCCGGGCGTGGTGGCAGGCGACTGTATTCCCAGCTACTTGGGAGGCTGAGACAGGAGAATTGCTTGAACCCGGGAGGCAGAGGTTGCAGTGAGCCAAGATCGCACCACTGCACTCCAGCCTGGGTAACGGAGCGAGACTCCGTCTCAAAAAAAAAAGAAAGAATATAATCCAGGAGGTATACATGGAGATGGTCCTGAAGTCAAGGGGAAGAGTCTACCAAATGCCAGAAGCAGGTGAGGCGCAACACATAGGCTTAAAGGAAAACAAGCTGAAACCATGCAGTCTGATCTTATGTTAGAAACGTGGCTGTTAATAGGCTGGGTGAGGTGGCTCACATCTATAATCTCAGCACTTTGGGAGGCCAAGGCAGGAGGATTGCTTGAGCTCAGCAGTTCAAGACCAGCCTGAGCAACATGGCGAGATCCCATCTCTACAAGAAAATCAAAAAAATTAGCTGGACATAGTGGCTCATGCCTGTAGTCCCAGCTCCCCAAGAGGCTGAGGTGGGAGGATTTCTTTGGTCCAGGAGGTCAAGGATGCAGTGAGCCAAGATCACGTCACTACACTCAAATTTAGAAATGTGACTGTTAAAATTCAATTGGCCAGGCACAGTGGCCCACACCTGTAATCCCAGCACTTTGGGAGGCCAAGGTGGGCAGATTGCTTGAGCCCAGGGGTTTGAGACCAGGCTGGGCAGTGCAGTGAGGCCTCATTTCTTAAAAAAAAAAAAGAAAGAAAGAAAGAAAGAAAACAAAAAACATAAAAGACCATATGAACTTTATATAAAACAAAGAAAGACGTTGCTATGGTTTGGATGTTTGTTGCCTCCAAACCTCATGTTGAAATTTGATCCCCAATATTGGAGGCAGGCCTAACGGGAGGTGTTTGGGTCATGGGGATGGATCTGTCATTAATAAATTATGCCCTCCCTCCAGGTGAGTGAGTTCTCAGTCTGTATTAGCTCCCACAGGGCTGGTTGATAAAAAGAGCCTGGCACCTCCCTAGTGAAAGCAGCCTGCAGCCCTC
Source organism: Homo sapiens (assembly GCF_000001405.40). Taxonomy (NCBI): domain Eukaryota; kingdom Metazoa; phylum Chordata; class Mammalia; order Primates; family Hominidae; genus Homo; species Homo sapiens. The sequence goes on along the minus strand of NC_000004.12, from coordinate 110,256,588 downwards.
CCCAGACACAGATGCCCCATTTGAAGTTTCCAGCCAACCAAATAAGCCAAATAAACCTTTTTAAAATAAATTACTCAATCTCAGGTATTCCTTTACAGCAACACTAAAGGGACTAAGACAGATGTTAACAGCCATATCAATTTTTTGGTGACCAAGAAATAACACATTAAACATTTTTCCACCCTCACTTGACAGTTTACTTATTATATATGATATTTAGCTATGTGTATCTACATTTCAGGGAATTGGCTAAGGAAGATCTAATTTTTACAAACTAATATGATGTAAAATATGTTTCTTGTTAATATTTCTGTACCATATAGTCTGGTTTTCAGAAACGAATTACTGGAGTTAAGCTGGAAATGCCTGTCTACGCACAGAATACCAAGTCATCAACAGGACTAAATTAGCATTCTTATCCTTACAATGAAATTCTCTCGCCGGGCGCGGTGGCTCACGCCTGTAATCCCAGCACTTTGGGAGGTCGAGGCGGGTGGATCACGAGGTCAGGAGATCGAGACCATCCTGGCTAACACAGTGAAACCCCGTCTCTACTAAAAATACAAAAAATTAGCCAGGCGTGGTGGCAGGCACCTGTAATCCCAGCTACTTGGGAAGCTGAGGCAGGAGAATGGCGTGAACCTGGGAGGCGAAGCTTACAGTGAGCCGAGATTGCGCCACTGCACTCCAGCCTGGGTAACAGAGCGAGACTCCGTCTCAAAAAAAAAAAAAAAAAAAAAAAAAAAAGAAATTCTCTCGGCCGGGTGCAGTGGCTCAGGCCTGTAATCCCAACACTTTGGGAGGCTGAGGAGGGCAAATCACGAGGCTAGGAGGTCAAGACCAGCCTAGCCAACATGATGAACCCCCATCTCTACTAAAAATACAAAAATTAGCTGGGCGTGGTGGCGTGCACCTGTTGTCCCAGCTACTTGGGATGGTGAGGCAGGAGAATTGCTTGAACCCAGGCGGCGGATGTTGCGGTGACCCCAGATTGCGCCACTGAACTCCAGCCCAGGCGACAGAGCAAGACTCCATCTCAAAAAATTAAAAAAAAAAAAAAATTCTTTCACTTGGGTCCTCCTTTGACTTCACCCTTCTGGAAGAAGGAGACTGCAGGAACAATGACTTGCCACTCAGAGCCCAGAGCCCCTTCTAGACCCCATTCTGAATTCCTGGAACCTTGGAATTCCCTTCAGTCAGGAAGAAGAACAGAGGTAAAAGAATTTTGTCAGCAGGTCAGCCCCCGTTTTGTTTTGTTTTGGTTTTTTGAGACAGAGTCTCACTCCGTCACCTAGGCTGGAGTGAAATGGCGCCATCTTGGCTCACTGCAACCTCCACCTCCCAGCTTTAAGCCATTGTACTGCCTCAGCCTCCCAAGTAGCTGGGATTGCAGACACGTGCCACCATGCCTGGCTAATTTTTTTGTTTGTTCTTTTAGTAGAGATGGAGTTTCACCATGTTGGCCAGGCTGGTCTCAAACTCCTGGCCTCAGGTGATCCACCCACCTCAGCCTCCCAAAGTACTGGGATTACACGCATGAGCCACTGTGCCCAGCCAGGTCAGCCCCCTTTTAAGGAGCTTTCCAAGAAATCTCTACCCTATTTACATCTTCTGTTTACATCTCATCTGCTAGAACTCTATTGGATGATACACCTACCTGTAAAAGAGGCTGGACATATAGCTGAGAACATTGCCACAACCAAAAAATGAAAGGGTTTCTACATTTAAGAAAGAAAGGGAACTTGGATTTAGATAGGCAAATTGAAGTTTCTGGCACTGATGGAGTTATCGGGGACAGGAACTATAATCTTTTCCCAAATCAGCACTCACTGTGTTTTGGTTTTTTGCCTGTTTAATTAACAAGTTCAATAGCATGTCCAATGGCCAATTAGAAGGGGAAAATATCAGAAGAATATCTGAATATCTTGCCTATCCCTTTGTCAGAAAATTGTTAATGCTTCCAATCTACCTGAGACAGAAAGCTCTGTCCCTCAACACCTTGTGAATGTTTCTACGTTCTGACTCTAGAAGCATCTGAAATAATAAAGAATGGACTATTCTGGCCGGGCGCGGTGGCTCACACCTGTAATCCCAGCACTTTGGGAGGCTGAGGTGGGTGGATCACCTGAGGTCAGGAGTTCAAGACCAGCCTGGTCAACATGGTGAAACCCCCGTCTCTACTAAAAATACAAAAATTAGCCGGGCATGGTGGCGCGTGCCTATAGTCCCAGCTACTTGGGAGGCTGAGGCGTGAGAATCACTTGAACCCAGGAGGCGGAGGTTGCAGTGAGCCGAGATCACGCCACTGCACTCCAGCCTGGGTGACACAGGAAGACTGTCTTAAAAAAATAAATTAATAATAATAATAATAAAGAATTGACTGTTTAATCTTAAAATCACACTATATGTGACTATACATATTCCATGAAACTTTGCTTACAGACGAAGAACAAAAATACATATTCCACTGCTATCCCAAATTATGCTTGACAGCTTTTTTTTTTTTTTTTTGAGATGGAGTCTAACTCTGTCGCCCGGGCTGCAGTGCGGTGGCATGATCTCAGCTCACTTCAAGCTCCGCCTCCCAGGTTCAAGTGATTCTCCTGCCTCAGCCTCCTGAGTAGCTGGGACTACAGGCACCTGCCACCACGCCCAGCTAATTTTTGTATTTTTAGTAGAGACGGGGTTTTACCATGTTGGCTAGGCTGGTCTCAAACTCCTGACCTCAGGTGATCCACCCACCTCGGCCTCCCAAAGTGCTGGGATTACAGGCATGAGCCACCATGCCCAGCCAGAATTTATTTTTAAAAAGAAAACAATTAAAAATAAACAAGCAAATAAAATTAAGTGGCCTGGAAGAAAAAAAAATAGGCCAAAAGAGAGGGATGTAAGTACAATTCTGACCATGGGAAAGCTACCCCAGTCAGTGTCCCACAACCTGCCCCTTCCATCTCCTCATATCCCTGTATCTATTCATATGGGCACTAGCACTTTGCTTACAGGGGTTAAAGAAAATCCCCTAGAAATTTTTTAAAAAATAATTGGACTGGGTGTGGTGGCTCACACTTGTAATCCCACCACTTTGGGAGGCTGAGGTGCGAGGATCACTCGAGTCCAGGAGTTTGAGAGCAGCCTAGGCAACAAAGGAAAACCCTGTCTCTACTTAAAAAAAAAAAAAAAAAAAAAAAATAGTAGGGCATGATGGTGCACACCTGTAGTACCAGCTACTCAGCAGGCTCAGGTGGGAGGATCACTTGAGCCCGGGAAGTTGAGACTGCAGACAGCCTATGATTGTGCCACTGCACTACAGCCTGGATGACAGTGTGAGAGATACTGTCTCAAAGAATAATAATAATTAGGCCAGGCATGATGGCTCACGTCTGTAATCCCAGCACTTTGGGAGGCTGAGGCGGGTGGTTCACAAGGTCAGAGTTCAAGACCAGCCTGGCCAAGATGGTGAAACCCCTTCTCTACTAAAAATACAAAAAATTAGCCGGGCGTGATGGCGGGCGCCTGTAATCCCAGCTACTCAGGAGGCAGAGGCAGAATTCCTTGAACCCGGGAGGCGGAGGTGGCAGTGAGCCAAGATCGTGCCACTGCACTCCAGCCTGGGCAACAGAGTGAGACTCTGTCTCAAAAATAAATAAATAAATAAACAAGTAAATAAAAAAAATAAATATTAATAAGAATTGTAAAAATTACCCACAGGGGCAGGGCACAGTGGCTCATGCCTATAATCCCAGAACTTTGGGAGACCAAGGTAGGAGGATTGCTTGAGGTCAGGAGTTCAAAACCAACTTGTTTTTAAAATTTAGCTGGGTTTGGTGGCCTGAGCCTGTCGTCTTAGCTACTCAGGAAGCTGAAGAGAGAAAATTGCTTGAGCCTAGGAGTTTGGAGGCTGCAGTGAGCTATGATTGTGCCACTGCACTCCAGCTTGGGTGACAGGATGAGATCTTGTCTCTAAAAAAAAAAAAAAAAAATAGATTACTTAGAGGGAATAAGACCTCTAGGATGGGAAGAGGCCACAGAGTGAAGTCCTCCCCATTCTGGTATTTGGACATTCCATGTCCCCAGATTAAAGGCTCCTCCTGCAAAAAGTAAAGTCTGCCTAACCAAAAAATCTTGTCCATATACACAGAGTCTATTGGTAAACAACCTAGAGAAAACTCATGCCGGCTACTTAGAAAAATCAAATTAAGCTGTGCTACGTTGTCTCATCAAACTTACTAGAAGGGTCATGCAACGTGGATTACATAAGAACATAACCCAAAAATCCCAACATAGAGAGCACTGTGAAATTCCTGAACTTGGCCAATACCCTATAAATTTTAGAAGATGGATCTTCCCACTAGCAAGTCTATACTTGTTCCTGAAATAAATTAATAGCCCCCTCATTACATATCTCCTTCCATTTTACACAAAGAACTTAAGGTCCCAGAATAGGTTAAAAAAATGTTTTACAATCACTACCTAGATGGGCACCAGGGATATAGCCGAGACTGACCCCAAGAATGAGCAGGAACTCACCTCAGTGGTGCAGAAACTCCTGCAGCAGATCCAAGATAAATTTCAGACCATGTCTGACCAGATCATTGGGAGAACTGATGATATGAGTAGTTGCACTGATGATCTGGAAAAGAACATCGCAGATCTCATGACACAGGCTGGGGTGGAAGAACTGGAAAGTAAAAACAAGATACCTGCCACACAAGAGGTGAAGGTTGCTAATAATTTATACTGAAATCTGGAACACCATTTTTCCAAGCCAAGAGAAGATTGAATGGGTTTTTGCAGCTAACTACTATGTGTATACAGGTTTTATAAAAAGTGTGCATTCTTATCACATACTATATAGTTAGTCTATAGAGTGATTTACCCCCCAGTTTCTTAAACATAGTATCTTCACATCTTGGACCTTGGTCAATTTTGCTATTAACGATTAAACATTAAAACTTTGCTGGTTCCTGAAAAAAAACACACAAAAAAAAACACAGTTTTACTTTCCCAAATTCCTATTCTTCTTTGACCCAACTGGAGGCCACCCTCAGGTGCTTGGGTCAAGTCTTGTCCTTTCTTCAACAGCTTGCATCAACCTCCATCAAGACTGGGGTTGGAATAAATTAAGTGTCTGCTAGGCTAGGCTTCTTCAACCCCAGTGTCTCATGTGTTTCAGCCCTTCAACCAGTGAGTTTAGAAATCCTTAAAGAAATCTTCAGAACAAAATATAAGCATTATAGTGCTTACATCTCAGCACCTACACATCCCTAACAGCATTTTTCAAGTCAAAGCATATATTACATCTATTACAACCTAAATCCACATCATCATTGCCAGCCATAGATTATAGTAGATAGGGTATTAATATTATTGAGTGGAAGAATGTAGATTGTGAAAAATAGTAAAAGCATTATTATTGATAAATTAGCATGGGCTATTTGGAGAAATAATTTGTCTCAGACAACCAAGTGCAGCCTAGAACCAAAACACGCCAAAGGACCTACTTTGGCTCTTTCTCCCTAAGCATTTGAGCCTCAGACTTTTCCACTCCAGAAGGAAAAGCCCATCCACCAAAAAACAGCAGCAACAAAAAGCTTATCCAACAAAAAGTTCTGTTCTGAAAGACAGAAGAGGAGGGCTGGAATTTTCTAAATAATTCCCAGAGACTGGCTTCTTTCTTCTCAGGCCTGGGGAATAGCAGGGCCAGCTTACCTCACCAGCTGTTAGAAGAGAAGAAACCCACACAAGGCCAAAGAGCCCACCCAAGAGATGACAGAAATCAAAATAGTAGTTACCTGGAGGAATGGGTCTTGACTGAAAAGGGGCTCTAGAAAACTTTTCAGTGTCGTGAACAGGTTGTCTATTTTGATCTGAGTAGTGATTACATGTAGGTATACATAGGCAAACATTCATCAACCCATTCACTGAAGATTTGTACATATCACTGCATGTAAATTATACTGCAAAAAAAAAAAAGGAAAAACATTCTCACACACATGCAAAAAAAAACTTTCTTCCCAATAAGAAACACCCCAGCCTTTCCCCAATTTTCTGGATTACTAGAAGTGATTGATTCCAAAGAGAGAATAAAGAGACAGCCCAAAAGAGGAAGACGATGATCTCCAAGCTGACTTGTCCTCACCTCCATGAAATTTCATGGAAGGAAAAGCATCTCAAGGAAAGAGAGGCAAAGAGATTATCAGGGTTCCTCCAAGAGGAAACAATCCTGCACTCACCCTCGCAACTTGGGTCTCATGAAAGAGCATCCATTCAGAAAGTCATCACCTTAAGGTGCACTGTGACTTTAAATCCCTTTCATTAAAAACAACGTGTTCTCCTCTAGGTAAACCTGGCCAAATATATCTGAGAATTCCAAAAGAGCCGTTCTACCCTTTGAGCACTCTCTGCCTGAAAGCACAGTTGCACAATCGCAGTTCAATGAATCTGATTCATCCCCAGGGATATGCCGAATGATCTTCATTTTACAAGGGTTCTTACATTATTTAAATAGAGGAAATACTCCTTTAAAGGCATCAGTTAAGACTTAAAAAAAGAAAAAAGCACAAGAAAAAATATATGTATTAAATATTTTTAAATCTTAAGGCACTGCCATACCCGCATACCCCATGCATGGGCGGGATGGTGGTATCTTCTTCTCCAGCCTGCCCTTTGCCTCCTCACCCACAAACCACCACCACCACTCAGACAGATGGATTGTTCTGTGTTCCTTGACTGGGAAGAAGGATGTGTCAGCAGATAACAAACTTTAAAGGAGTTTATTCTTGAATTGGGATTTTAAAACGTAGGTCAGGCAGTTGGGATGTGTGAGCAGAAGAAAACTAAAAATAAAATAAAAAATGAAAAAATAAAACTTAAGTGCTTTAGAGGTCAAAAAGAAGCCATGCTACATACAGTATATTGAGGAAAACACATGAGTAAAAGGGAAATGTCCCAGTCTTACCCCTTCTCTCTCCAGTCTTCAGCCTCTAGACTAGAAAAGAGTCCTCAGCCTTGAGGAAGAGTTTATCTTACTTCAATGGAAACAGAGAAGTGGTAACAGAGAGTCTAATGGGTCCCAAAAAGAGGAAACTTGCCTCCAGCTCTTGGGCTGTGTAGTTGACATAACTAATTCCATCTTAGAAAAAGACTTCATTTTGGTTGGGCATGGTGGTTCATGCCTGTAATCCCAGCACTTTGGGAGGCCGACATGGGTGGATCATGAGGCCAGGAGTTCAAGACAAGCCTGGCAAAGATGGCAAAACCCCATCTCTACTAAAAATACAAAAATTAGCCAGTCGTGGTGGCAGGCGCCTATAATCCCAGCTACTCAGGAGGCTGAAGCAGGAGAATCACTTGAACCCCAGGAGGCGGAGGTTGCAGTGAGCTGAGGTTGTGCCACTGCACTCACTGGGCAACAGATTGAGACTCCGTCTCAAAGAAGAAGAAAAAGGACTCCATTTTATATTTCATAGAGCACTTTGCCAACAAGGATAAGATGTTCTGTTTAACAAACAAATTAAAAAAAGACTGCTGGCAACCAGATAAGGATGTAAACAAGTGTACTCTTCCACTATCAGTTCTTGCCAGAGAACTCTGTGACTGTAAAGGATTAGACCTTCTCCAGCTCGAAAACAGCTGTCTTAACTGACTGTCTTGCAGTCACTTGTGATAAGAATTTGGCACCTGCCACCGAAGGCTCTGCCACCTCAAAAACTCTTCTTTCGAGACCAAAGGGACCCCAGGGTGTGACCAGGACTCTTGTCTTCTTAGCTCCCACTGGACTGGTTCATTAATCCTTTCTCCTATCTCTTTTTCCTCTTGATGTTAAATGTTACTTTGTTTGTCATGGAATGTTTAACCTAAAACATTTCTATATTGATGAAATATACTATTATATATGGTTTGCAATATTGACTGACTTGTGGAGTGGCTTGAGTCTGTGTGCCCATGGCTCTGACTACAGAGTGAACAGGAAGTACTAAGAATTGCCTCCTTGGGAACTCCATGTAGCTCGTGGACTGGAATAGCATTAATAAAAGCCTGACATTGTGGAAAGACACACACATGCGTGGACCTGTTTAATCTTGCACCGCTCACGACTGGCTGAGGTCGAGGATGGAGTCAAAACCCCTAGATAGGCCGGTAGTCTCTGGAAGAAATAAAAACCTGGCCCCATTGCTCAGGCAGAGGCTCTGAAGAGAAATGACTGCATAGTGTGCCTGGGCAGATGGTACCAGACACAATGGCAGAAGCTTCCCTGTGCCCTGAACAGCATGAGAGCAGGGTAATTTCCATGCCTTCCCCACCCCCAGAGAAGCACAAAGCAGTACAGAGTGATGAAAAGAAAGGGCCTGTGGAAATGGGAATGTGGATCGTCTAGGCAATTGCATGGTTTATCATCTTAGGACCAGACAGGATGACAGCTATTCCAAGGGATGCCAGTGTCAGCAGATGACATCAAGGACCACACTGACCTTCTGCCTCCCCCTCAACAACCCAGCCATGGTCACTGCTAGCCCATAGGGCACTCTCGTGGAAATTAGAAAAAGACATCTGCAAAGTATGTGCTGCTTAGAGAATGAAGTGCAGATGAAATGTCAGCCCCCTAGGCTGTCTGCCCCACCTCCACCTCTAAGCTATGTGGCATAATACTTGAGAAACAGATCTCAAGACCAGGCACAGTGGCTGGCACAGGTAATCCCCATGCTTTGGGAGGCCAAGGCAAAGCAACATAAGGAGATCTAATCTCCACAAAAAAAAAAAAAAAATTAGCCAGGCATGGTTGCGCATGCCTGTGGTCCCAGCTACTTTGGAGGTTGAAGTGGGAGGATGGCTTTGGCCTGGGAGGTTGAGGCTGCAATGAGCCATGACTGTGCCACTGCTCTCCAGCCTGGGTGACAGAGCCAGACCCCGTCTTAAAAAAAAAAAAAGGAAATAGACCTCAGGTGGTGTGATCTTTAGACCCGTTTCACACAACCTCCAAACCTGGCTGAACAGCAAAGACTAGCTCATCTCAGGGAATTTAGCTGAAAATCTCAAGCAAACTTAATATATAGCAAGGTAAAATAACATAATTCAAAAAACAAAACTACAGTTAAGGAAATATAACAATATCCACAAGATACAAAAGTTTGTTTTATTGTAATATTATTTTGATGCTTAGTTTTTATCACAAAATTCTATTTCACACCATAATACTTGATAATTTATTCTATGTAGACACAGAGAGGAAAGGGGACCTGGTGGAAATATGAGCTAACCAGTTAACAAAGAGGGGTGCAGACTCTAAACCAGAACAACCACAGGGAAGAACATCTCATCCAAATTCTGAGCTTTATAAAAAAAGAAAACTGGGAGCAAGAGAAAATTATGTTTGCATACGATTTAGGAATCTTTAAATCATTTTCACATACCTTTGTTGATTCCTGAAATATCCCTGCTTCCATGGAGCAGAAATTATTACCTTCTGTTCAGGAGAATGGACTATAAAACAGCAACTCATAGGGAAAAAAAAGAATGTGATAAAGAAGTGAAGAAAGGGGAAGCATGAGATATAAAAGTTTTATTTTTAAACACAGCTATCCATTGACATGGGAAAAATGTGGGATGGGATTCTGAATGATTTTTTTATCCCCTTCCCTTCTTTATACTTCTCTACAGATTTTTTTTTTTTTTTTTTTTTGAGACAGGGTCTCACTCTGATGTCCAGGCTGGAGTGCAGTGGCGTGACATCGGCTCACTGCAATTTCTGCCTCCCGGGTTCAAGCAATTCTCCTGCCTCAGCCTCCCTAGTAGCTGGGATTGCAGGCACCTACCACCATGCCCGGCTAATTTTTTCATTGTTAGTAGAGATGGAGGTTCACCATGTTGGCCAGGCTGGTCTGGAACTCCTGACAAGTGATCTGCCCACCTCGGCCTCTCAAAGTGCTGGAATTAAGGCGTGAGCCATTGCACCCAGCATTTTTCCACAGATTTTTTTATATGCAAAAATTCCTTTTATTATAAGAAGGAGGAAAAGACAAAATTAGCAAGAACTTAATTTGTTTTTTTATTTTTTTAATTAATTAATGAATTTTTTTTTTGAGACGGAGTCTCGCTCTGTCGCCCAGGCTAGAGTGCAGTGGCGTGATCTTGGCTCACTGCAAGTTCCACCTCCCGGGTTCATGCCATTCTCCTGCCTCAGCCTCCCGAGTAGCTGGGACTACAGGCGCCTGCCACCACTCCTGGCTAATTTTTTGTATTTTTTAGTAGAGATGGGGTTTCACCATGTGATGTTAGCCAGGATGGTCTCGATCTCCTGACCTCGTGATCTGCCCACCTCGGCCTCCCAAAGTGCTGGGATTACAGGCGTGAGCCACTGTGCCCAGCCAATTTATAATTACTACTTATTTATTCCTAAAATCTAATTACTAAATATTACAATAATGTAATTCTTTGCAAAGCAAAAAGCCTGCAAGAAAAATGCACTAAAGTAACTTCAAAGGGATGAACGTAAATTCTTTTTCTGTCTTCTGCTTGCCTATGGTTTCTAAGCTTTCTATAATATAGGTATAATTATTCATTGAAAGGGTGCTTTGTTTTAAAAGGAAAATTCCTAAATGAATTTCTGAAGTATACAAATAACAATGTATATGTATTTACCCTAGCAAATTGTCAAAATATGAATTTATTTTGTACTATTGAGAGGTTAAAAAACTGGATAAGGATACATACATATGCGCTTTTTTCTTTTTTCAAGAAAATAAAAAGCAAATGACCTAAATTACACTCTTGTGGAGAACATCAGAACTGAGTCAGAATCTGAGTTATGAGGTAACCTGATCCTTTCTAGCCCAACCTCCCACTCTGTGAAGCCGTCTTCATCTCAGAATCTGTTTCCTTGTCGTAAAACCTGCCTTGACTTTCTTTATGAGGAAACTGAGGCTTGGAGGAAGTTCAGCAACCTACCGAATTATCACAGCTAAATCTCCCGACAAAGAAAAGAACTCAGATGGCTTGAATCTAACACCCAGGCAGGCTCTTCCTAATGTCCCACAGAGCCTCCAAACCTGGTAGAACAGTTAACAATGATACTCTATCTTTTGACATTCTGGGATCTTGTCTTTTGAAACGCAGATAGTACCCTAAAATCAAAATAATAATACCTCTTGGAAATATCGATTCATAGTACCATCAAAAAAGCAGTTTGCACAAGATTGATAACATGGGGAAGCATTACCTTTCAAGTGCAAAACACAGGGATGCAATGGAAGCTTTATAGCAAATGATCTAAAAAAAATTGAGATGACATATGTTTCATTTTTGTATATATCAGCTAAACTCTGCCTGCCCTCTATATTTGACCATGATATCTAAAGCAAAGCAACATCAGATCTTACATATAACCCTCATCCCTTAAGAGACACTCAGAAGCCTGTGCGAAGTGGTTCATACCAGTAATACCAGCACTTTGGGAGGCTGAGGCAGGAGAATAGCTTGAGCCCAGGGGTTCAAAACTGCAATGAGCTATGATCACGTCACTGCACTCCAGCCTGGGTGACAGAGCAAGACGCTGCCTCAAAAGAAATACTCTGAAGATAAGTGATCTTTAAACAGAGGAGTTAAGCCACCATAGTGATTTACAAACCAAGAAATCCTAGATCTCTTTTTTTAAACTTTGGTGAAACAGAGGCCCTTTTAAATTTCTCAAACTGGGCCAGGCACGGTGGCTCATGCCTGTAATCCCAACACTTTGGGAGGCCAAGGCAGGAGGATCACTTGAGCCCAAAAGTTTGAGGATACATTGAGCTATGATTGTGCCACTGCACTCCAGCCTGGGTGATAAGAGTGAGACTCTATCTCAGAAAATAAGAAAAATTAAAATAAAAATTTTTAAAATAACCTTCTCAAGCCAAGTAACCCCTATCTCTTCCTGTGGCAATGGCCATTTCTTTCAACTAAAATATTCAGCTGTGATTGCTTTGGCTATTCAGGCTGTTTTTTAGTTCCATACAAATTTTAGGATTTTTTTTCTAGTACTGTGAAAAATGACATTTGGGCTGGGTATGGTGGCTCATGCCTGTAATTCCAGCACTTTGGGAGGCCAAGGTGTGTGGATCACTTAAGCCCAGGAGTTCAAGACCAGCCTGAGAAACATGGCAAAACCCTGTCTCTACAAAAAATTTAAAAACTAGCCAGGTGGTCGGGTGCAGTCGCTCACACCTGTAATCCCACCACTCTGGGAGGCTGAGGCAGGCTGATCACTTGAGCTTGGAAGTTTGAGACCAGCCTGGGCAACATGGCAAAACTCTGTCTCTACAAAAAAAAAAAAAAAAAAAAAAGCAAAAATTAGCTGGGTATGGTGATGCATGCTTGTCGTCCCAGTTACTTGGGAGGCTCAGATGGGAGAATTGCTTGAGCTTGGGAGGTTGAGGCTACAGTGAGCTGTGATTGTGCTATGGCACTCCAGCCCAGGCAACAGAGTGAGATACTGTCTCAAAAGAAAAACAAAAAATTTTAATTTAAACTTCAGTAAAAGAAAAAATAAATAATAAAATTACTGAAAACATAGGTAAAGTTTTTAGGCAACAGTTTCTATGGGAAACCTGTAATGCTTAGATTTTAAAAGGCTTACTTAGTCTATTTATATCACCACAATTAAAAAGAATTCCCAGATGAGCAGCTGTGAGTTATAAGAAGGTATCTATTTCTGCTTCACTGATATGCCCTGCCAGAGCATTGTTCTTATTTTATTTTTGTTTGTTTGTTTGTTTGTTCATTTGAGATGGAGTCTTGCTCTGTAACCCAGGCTGGAGTGCAGTGGCGCGATCTCGGCTAACTGCAACCTCCATCTCCTGGGTTCAGGCGATTCTCCTGCCTCAGTCTCCAGAGTAGCTAGGACTACAGGTGTGCCCCACCAAGCCTGGCCAATTTTTGTATTTTTGGTAGAGATGGGGTTTCACCATGTTGGCCAGGCTGGTCTCAAATTCCTGACCTCAAATAATCTGCTGGCCTCAGCCTCCCAAAGTGCTGGCATTACAGGAGTGAGCCACCATGTCCAGCCAGAACAGTGTTTTTATAGTATAGAAATTCTGCTTAGAATTGTGCTGAATTCAAGGCTATAAACAGACTAGTTGTGAAACCAAGTGTCATATTTTAAAATCACGTAGCAAAGTATACTAACATGTATAAACACATAGTGCAAAAATGGTATGCAGGGGCCGGGCGAGGTGGCTAATGCCAGCACTCTGGGAGGCCAACATGGGAGGATCCCTTGAGCTCAGGAGTTCAAGACCAGCCTGGGCAACATAGCAAGACCTCGTCTCAATCTCAAAAAATAAAAAAAAAGAATAGTGTTTACCTCTTATTTATGCCACACTGTTTACTGCACACTGAATGGCCCATTTTTCTATAAAATTCATCTTATTTCTTTTGGATGTTTTCTATAAGATATATTTTTTAAATATTGTGTCAAAATTTTCCTTTTTCCATGGGCATATTGTTCTTCTTACCAGAATGCACTTATAGAAGATTTTTTGGAAGTCTAATATGTAATCATATTTTGTTACTATTTATTTATTTATTTATTTATTTATTTATTTATTTATTTTGAGACAGAATCTCACTCTGTCACCCAGGCTGGAGTGCAGTGGCACAATCGGCTCAGTGCAAACTCCACCTCCCGGGTTCAAGCGATTCTCCTGCCTCAGACTCCCCAGTCGCTGGGACAACAGGCATGCACCACCACCCCTGGCTAATTTTTGTATTTTTAGTAGAGACAGTTTCACCATTCTGGCCAGGCTGGTCTTGAATTCCCTTTTTTTTTTTTTTTCTTTTGAGATGGAGTCTCGCTCTGTCTCCCAGGCTGGGGTGTAGTGGCATGATCCCGGCTCACTGCAACTTCTGCCTCTGGGTTCAAGCGATTCTCCTGCCTCAACCTCCCAAGTAGCTGAGATTACAGGCGTGTGCCACTACACTTGGCTAATTTTTGTATTGTTAGTAAAGACAGGGTTTCACCACGTTGGCCAGGCTAGTCCCGAACTCCTGACTTAAAGTGATCTGTCTGCCTCAGCCTCCCAAAGTGCTAGGATTATAGGCATGATCCACTGCGCCTGGGCTATGACTTTATTATGGGTATATATATGCTCTATTTTCTAGGCACTGATTTCAATATACATCAATCAAATTTACTTTATTGATATGGTATTTAGGTATTTTATATCATTACTTATTTTTTAATTGTTATATTTTGAACTGAGAGAGATTAAAGTATGCCATCATTAACATATTTCTGTCTAGTTCTCCTTTCTTTTCCTATAATGTTGGCTGAGTGAATGTTGTGGCTATTTTATTATATGCGTAGATCTTCATAACTTCTATATCTTCACTAAACTCTTTAGCATTACAAAGTATACTCCTTGTCTCAATCTGAACTACACCTTGTCAATATTAAGATCACAACCTCTACTCTTTTTGTTCATATTTGTCTCATAATTTTAAACATTTAATTTATTTTTAATAAATAAAGTTAATAATTAATAAAGATAAATTAAAGATTTTGTTTTTTGAGACAGGGTCTCATTCTGTCACCCAGGCTGGAGTGCAGTGGTGTGATCACGGCTCACTGCAGCCTCCACCTCCGCAGGCTCAGGTAATCTTCCCACATCAGCTTCTCAAGTAGCTGGGACTACAGGTGCATGCCACCATGCCCGGCCAATTTTTTTTTTTTGTCTTTTTTGTAGAGACAGGGTTTCCCCATGTTGCCCAGGCTGGTCTTGAACTCCTGGGCTCCAGCCATCCTCCTGCCTTGGTCTCCCAAAGTGCTGGGATTATAGGCATGAGACACCATACCCAGTCTAAAAATTTATTTTTAATATTTCTAAATTACTTTGTTGTATGAGTTTTTATTGTATATAGCATTCAGTTGGGCTTCATTTTGTGATCAAATCTATTATTAGGTGCTGTAAATGTATGATCATTATGCCTTCCTAATGAATTGACCCTTTTATTATTATGAAATCTCCTTTACCTCTAATAATACTTTGTCTTGAAGCCTATCATGGTTGATATTGATATAGCCAGTCCATCCTTTGTATGTTTACTACATGCATGATATACCTTTTTCTATACGTTTACTTCCAACATGTCTGTGTCTTTATATTTACAGTGCATCTGTGGTAAACAGCATATAGCTGAGTATTGCTTCTTAATTCATTTTGATAATCACTGCTCTCTTTTTTAGCGTTTTTTTGGTTGTTCGTTTGTTTGTTTTGAGACAGGGTCTCACTCTGTCTCCCAGGTTGGAGTGCAGTGGTGCAATCTCAGCTCACTGCAGCTTCAACCTCCCAGGCTCAAGTGATTCTCCCACCTCAGCCTCCTGAGTAGCAGGGATTACAGGTGCATGCCACCACGCCCAGCTAATTTTTGTATTATTTATAGAGACAGGGTTTTACCTTGTTGCCCAGGTTGGGCTCAAACTCCTGAGCTCAAGCGTTACACCCTCCTCAGTTTCCCAAAGTGCTGGAATTACAGACATGAGCCACTGCACACAGCCAATCACTGCTTTTTAATTGGAGTGTTTAGATTATTAACATCTAATATAATTATAAACATGATTGGGTTTAGATCGACCACTTTATTGTTTTCTGTTTGTCCCCTCTGTTCTTTGTTTTTTTTGTTTCATGTTTTCTGACTTCTTTTAGATTATTGAAATATATTTTAGAATTTCACTTAAATCTATGGGCTTATAAACTCTTTGCATTAATTTTTAGTGGTTATGGTAAAGATTGAAATATACATCTTTAACTTTTTGCACTCTACCTAGAGTTAATATCCACTTCATGTAAAATGTAGAAACCTTACACCGTGTAGATCCATTTACCACCCCCATCCTTCATTCTATAATTGTCATAAGTTTATATCTGCATTTATTATAAGCCCCACATAAAAATGTTATAGTTTGTGGTTTAAGTAGTAAAATATATTTTAAGAAACTGAGGGAAAAAATTTATATACACTCAGATATTTATAATTTGTTCATTTTTCTCACAAAATGATAGAAAGGAACAACAGAGGAAAGCAGTCCCAGTATTGATGCAATGGCTCAACAGTCAATAAAGACTAGAAACTTTTTCTCTTCCTAATCTATCTATTCAAACTAACATCAAATTAGCTTGGTCCGCAGGCTTGTCCCTTCCTAGCCATATTATGGCTGTAACACTTCAGAAAGCATCACCTGTAGATATACCTGTGTCCAGGTGTTTCATTCAATACTTTCCAAGAAGTACCCTGGCAGGACCCAAGCTCATGCCTTTGAATAAGAAATTGAGGAAAGCATCAGCATTGTGAGTGTTTTCATCCTCTGTCATGAGAAGTAGGCTGTTTAATAAGGAAGAAAGGAATAACAATGGCTGTTTTGTAGATAATCAACAGTTACTGCCATAACCCCTTACTCCCAGCTATTGGTGGTGGTTCCTGAGACTGCTAAATTTAGAAAAATTGAAGATTCAGTTTAGAAGAACTGAAGATTGATCAACATGAAATCCATACATATAGAAAAGAATGATGGGATGAGGCCGGGCACGGTGGCTCACGCCTGTAATCCCAGCACTTTGGGAGGCCGAGGCAGGCAGATCACAAGGTCAGGAGATGGAGACCGTCCTGGCTAACATGGTGAAACCCCATCTCTACTAAAAACACAAAAATTAGCCGGGTGTGGTGGCGGGCGCCTGTAGTCCCAGCTACTTGGGAGGCTGAGGCAGGAGAATGGCGTGAACCCGGGAGGCGGAGCTTGCAGTGAGCTGAGATCCCCGCCACTGCACTCCAACCTGGGCAACAGAGTGAGACTCTGTCTCAGAAAAAAAAAAAAAAAAAAAAGAATGGTGGGATGTTGTTCATTCATTGGCTGAAAATGTCTCACACAATTCTGGAAGTATTGCCTTCAATACTGAATCTGTCAAGCCCTCAGTGCTTTAGAAACTCACTGTCTAAATTTAAACTTTAGTTTTAGCACACACTACTACTTAAGATGCTTACCTGCCTCTAGAACCCTTGCCCTCTACTGACGGCTAGCTAGCTTTTCACTTAACTTTATGTTCAACCATATGCCAATTTCATATTAGTTATTAGTTCCAAGCCCAGTCTAATATAAACTGAACGATTGCTAGCATTTCAACATAAATCTGCATAAGATTGTCCACCACCACCCCACCCTGCCCCATACTCCAAGATATACCTAAAGAGTAAAGTTTAGCATAAAGTAATTAATGGTGACTTTTTTTGGTCAATTTTAATGAAGATCTTTTTTTTTTTTTTTTTTTTTGAGACGAAGTCTCACTCTGTTGCCCAGACGAGAGTCCAGTAGCGCAATCTTGGCTAACTGCAGCCTCTGCCTCCCAGGTTCAAGCAATTCTCCTGCCTCAGACTCCCAAGTAACTGGGACTACAGGCACGTGCCACTACGCCTGGCTAATTTTTCATATTTTTAATAGAGATGGGATTTCACCGTGTTAGACAGGATGGCCTCAATCTCCTGACCTCGTGATCCACCCATCTCAGCCTCCCAAAGTGCTGGAATTACAGGCATGAGCCACCACACCTGGCAAAGATCATTTTTGATAGAGAATATTTCCTTGAGACCCTCAAATTACTCTGTACCTTCCAAACCAATACTAATTAAGGACAGATTTCAAACTGCTATAGAATATTTCTAATATTTAGCAACTGGTCCACTGTATCCTAGAACCAGAAAACTGCAACTTTTTTTCAGTAAATGTATATAATTAAAGCCGACAGTTGCTATTTCAAACATTGGATGATACTGCTTTATTTCTTTCTTTCTTTCTTTTGAGATATGGTCTTACTCTTTTTCCCAGGCTGGAGTGCAGTGGCACAAACACAGCTCACTACAGTCTCAGCTTCCCGGGCTCAAGCTATCCTACTGCCTCAGCCTCCCAAGGAGCTGGGACCACAAGTGCATGCCACCATGCATGGCTAATTTTTTTATTTTTTGTAGAGATAGGGTCTTGACATGTTGCCCAGGCTGGTCTCAAACTCCTGGGCTCAAGCAGTCCACCCACCTTGGCCTCCCAAAGTGTTGGGATTATAGGCATGAGCCACCACAACCAGCCTTAATGCTGCTTTAAGTCAAATTAATAAACAAGTCATCTCAGCTGTAAGCTTAATGTTGACTTCACTTACATTGGCCTAGCTTTAGCTAATACATAATATCACCCACAATATATAATAACCATAATGCATAGCTTCTTCTTAATAATGTGTTTTTCCTTTTCTTGAGAATTGTTTTACTATATGTTATGGAGAGGAAAAATCAAAGTTTTTGTTTTGGGGGAAGTTACAAATTAAGTACATCTTATATTTTATATTATTTATTTATTTATTTATTTTAATTTTTCTGTAGAGACGGGATCTCACTTTGTTGCCTAGGCTGGTCTCAAACTCCTGGACTCAAGCAATCCTCCTCCCTTGGCTTTCAAAAGTGCTGGGATTACAGATGTGAGCCACTACACCTGGCCTCATCTTATATTTTATTTAAGGTTTTGCAAATGGCAAGAAAACAGGGAAGGTATTATGGAAAATAATGAAATACGTTTCCTAAAAATTAGGACCTAAGTTTATAGAATATTGAAATAGAATTGAAGCATTGACCTCTTGTACCTCCACATCCCTTGACAGTGTGTCAGTCAGTATTCAGGAAAACATCCACCCAAATCACTGTAGATATTTTAAGCAGAAAGAAATTGAATACAAAGAATTGGGTCTTAAGAAAATTTTTGGAATGACTTGTGCAAAGGGCTCTAGGCTGAGTCTTTAAGAATGATTCCTGGAATATTATAGAATGGATCTACTAACTCTGAGCTATCTCTGAGGCTACCACTGGAGCAAGTCAAAAGCATAACACTACAGCTATGATACAGAAATGAGGATGCTAGAATCAAATCACTGCCACTACTGCTGGTGCCTCTGCCACAACTGTGTGTCAATACCCACAAAGCAGAAGAATAGACAATAAGAAGCTGCTGCAGAAAAATCTGCTAGCTATAAGAAAAGAGCCAAAAAGGGCAGGAAGATGGCCTCCAGCTGCCTTGCTCCTTCCAAATGCATCATGACTGCATCTAATAGACAGAACCTAATTTGCATCCAGGTTCTAGATAGACAGGTCAACGTAGTTCTCACCTTTCCAGCCCAAAGTTTATATAATAACTCTGGAAGGAGAGTGGAACAGAACTGAATGGGCCATTCTTCAGTATCTATCACAGACATTGTGTCACTGTCCTAATCAATTGTATCTGTGTATTCCAAAATTACACATTGCCAGAAAAACAGGATGCAAGATACACCCCTTTGGGAAATAACTATTTTAAGCAAATCTATTCTGTTGAAGGCAGGGGAAATGCAAGTAGTGTTACCTGGCAACTTGCAATATCAGTTAAATTGACTGAGCATACAGTTTCCATCTATTCATAAGCTACAGATACACAATGCCAAATTTCCAACTGTTTGGTATTCCAAGGAAGGAAGAAAAGGATTCTGACATGTGTAGGGCTTATTTGATCTTAAAGGAACGTATTTGAAAACCTGTGCTTCCCCCAAGTTTATTCATTGTCTCTCATGAAAAAAAAAAAAATGTCCAGGAAGAAGGGCCCTGTGGCTTGCATCACATACAATTTGAAAACTCTGCAAATACTAAGTAAAGTACTTCAGTAGGCTGAATAATGGCCACCCAAAGATATCAGATCTTCCTCCATAGAGCCTGTAAATTTTATGTTAGATTAAGGTCCTTTAATTAAGGATTGAGAGATAGAGAGATTACCTTGGTTTATCTGAGTGGAATCTAAATGCAATCATATGTATCCTTACAACAGGGAGGCAGAGGGAGATTTAACACAGACACAGAGAAGGGAAGGTGTTAAGAAGACAGAGCAGAGAGAAATTTGAAGGTGCTGGCCTTGATGCCTGGAGTGATGTGGCCATAAGCCAGGGAATGTCAGCAACCACCAGAAGCTGGAGGAACCAATGGACAGATTGTCCCCTACAACCTCCGGAGACAGTGAAGCCCTGCCAACACCTTGATTATGGCCCAGTGATACTGATCTTGGACTTCTGACCTGTAGATCTGTGAGATCATAAATTCACTATTTGTTCTTCTTAAGCTCACCAAGTTTATGGTCATTTGGTACAGCAGCCACAGGAAACTAATAGAAGTAACTGAAATATCAGAGCATCCAACTCCACTGACATGTTGCCATAGGGTACCAGGGGAAATCATTCTCCCATAGTTTGTCCTGCATTATTACAAATCAACTAGTACGGTGCAGAATTTAAAAGTCAATTTAGAATCCAATAATGTTGATGGCAAGTTTGAGGACTTGATCACTCTAGTCCTTACAATCAATAGCCAAATGATTTCAGATCCAAAAGTAAACAAACCACAAAATATAAGCTTAAGGTCAGAGAGGGCTGGGCGTGTTGGCTCACGCCTGTAATTCCAGCACTTTGGGAGGCCAAGGTGGGCAGATCACCTGAGGTCAGGAGTTTGAAACCAGCCTGGCCAACATGGCGAAACCCCGTCTCTACTAAAAATATAAAAATTAGTCCAATATGGTGGCAGGTGCCTGTAATCCCAGCTACCTGGGAGGCTGAGGCAGGAGAATCACCTAACCTGGGAGGTAGAGGTTGCAGTGAGCTGAGATCTCGCCACTGCACTCCAGCCTGGGCAACAGAGCAATACTTTGTCTCAGAAAAAAAAAAAAAAAAAAAACGAGGTCAGAGAAAGGACAACCTTTCGAGATCAAGAGGTGATTGCCTAGAAGCCCAGTTTGATGGAAAGGAGAGAACTTGAGCTTTGAAGCTGGGAGCATTCTCAGTTTTACCCACTTCCAAAAAGTTGAGCCATGGGCAGTAACTTACCTCTCTGAACCTGAGCTTTCTCACCTGATTCAAGGTGGCAACAATGAAAATGGAAAAAGAGGCAGAAGTAAAGGGATGTACATTTGGATGGATGCGGTAAAAGAAAAGGAGATATTTAGGATGAATGGCAGATTTCTGGCTAGAAAGCCTTGGAAACATGAACTGGAAGGGCTAGAAAGAGTCTCAGGTAGGCAGAATTGGGCAGGAAGAGAATGAGTTCAATTTTTGCCGTGTGGAATTTGAAGAGCCTACGGAGCATCCATCAGCAGGACACTGGGGATATAAGAGGCTCATACAGCATAGGAACCAAATGAGAGATCCTGATTCCAGTCTTGATCACATGGGTAAAAGCAGATGTCATGGGAGGGAGAGAGGTACCCAGGGGCATGTGCACAATGTAAAAGATCTTATACTTTTCTTGACAGTGACCACAGTTTTAGCATGGATCTTATTTTAGGTGTTATATAACACTAAGCCCATTCCAAACAGGAAATAGTACTTGTCTAAATACAAAGTAATAAGTAAAAAATGGTGGCCAGGTGCGGTGGCTTATGCCTGTAATCCCAGCACTTTGGGAGGCCGAAGCGGGCGGATCACCTGAGGCCAGGAGTTTGAGACCAGCCTGGCCAACATGGTGAAACCTCATCTCTACTAAAAATACAAAAAAAAAAAAAAAATTAGCCAAACCCAGGAGGTAGAGGCTGCAGTGAGCCAAGATCGCACCACTGCACTCCAGCCTGGGAGAGAGAGGGAGACTCCATTTCCAAAAAAAAAAAAAAAAATGGTTATATGAACATTTGTATAGCCATGTGATAAAATTTGTGCTAGTCATTTAAGATAATTGTTTATGAAAACTTATTGTAATAGAATAAAAAAGTGGTTGTACCATAATGTATGTCCATTATGCCATTCAATCCATCTGTTAAGTTTCTTAAATTTCACCCTGTATATTGTCCATACTCAATATTTCCTACCTTCTTTTGTAGCTGTTGGTTGCTGCTTCATGTTTCTTTTTTCTTTTTTTAATTTTTTAAAGGCAGGGTCTCACTATGTTGCCCAGGCTAGAGTACAGTGGCTATATTCCTAGGCACAATCATAGCTCATGGCAGCTTTGACCTCCCAGGCTGAAGTGATCTCCAACTTAGCTTCCAAAGTAGCTGGGGCTATAGACATGGGCTACCATGCCTGGCTACTGCTGCTTCATGCTTCTATTCTATTTATTTATCTCTTTCATATTATTATCCTTATTTTAATTTCTTGTTCTATTTGGCAAATTAATTCTGTTTTCTAGCATATAAATTGTTCAGTTTATGGTCTTTCTCTCATAGTACTTGTAGTCCTCAAATATCTCATTTTTCTCCTATTCCTTTGGGCTCATCACATCCCCAGATCTCAGCCAGTATCCTTTCATACACACACACACACACACACACGCACAGACACACACATACACACATACACATGCACAACATACACACACACGCACATAAACATACACACATACACATATATACACACATACACATATATACACACATACACATGCACAACATACACGCACATAAACATACACATATACACATACACACACATACACACATATACATATATACACACACATGCACAACATACACACATACACATGCATAAACATACACACATACACACACATATACACATGCATACACATCTACACACATACACATACACATATACACATACACATATACACTTATACACATACACACATACGCATACACACGCAGACACATACACACACAGACACACACACATACACATACAGACACATATACATACACATACACACATACACATACATACACACATACACACGTGCATACACATACATACACACATACACACGTGCATACACATACATACACACACATACACACGTGCATACACATACATACACACACATACACACACACGTGCATACACATACATACACACATGCATACACATACATACACACACACACGTGCATACACATACATACACACATACACACGTGCATACACATACATACACACATACACATACACACGTGCATACGCATGCATACACACATACGTACACATACACATACACATACACATAGACTGGTAAGCCTGCAGTTCATGTAGGGGGATGATTGAAGGGGAAGGGAGAGCTTTGGGTTTTATAATCTGGTCCCTATCACTCCCTGCTTTTAACCCCCCACCTGTCCCCAAGCAAAACTCTGAGCATCTCTCTTCCCAGGTTCTAATCTTTTGATGGTTATTGGCCAACACTGAAATTGTTTCACCCATTGGGCTGGGGAGCAAAAGCAAAAGATGGTTAGGGGACTGCTCTTTCTCTTAGTCTCTTATTATCTTATTCTCCTCTCCTGATGTTTTGCTTCCCCTGGGCTGAAGCTTGTTTGGGACTGTTATTTTATGTACAAAACATGGAAACAAGGTCATCTGTACTGTTATTTTATGTACAAAACATGGAAATCAGTAATCTGCTAATTTTAGTAGGCTAAATCATCCTTGACTCTCCTATGTCACTCTAGTGCCCTGGGTAGGCAATACTTGATGCAAGGTACAGGTGGATGGAAGAGCATATCAATAAAAATCTCATTTAATCTTCTCCAACCTTACAAAATCAATGTTAGCCCAGCTGTATGAGTGAGAAAAGTGTAGGTGAGAGAACATTGCTTAAGATCACTCTTGGCAGAGAGTGATGCAGCAGGGATTTAAACCTAGATAGCTCTGGTTCCAGGAGTTGTGCTTCTTTCACTCTACCACCTGCTCCCCAAAACCTGGTTCTCCAACAGAATCCCATCTCAGCCACGGGAGTCACTCCCTCCTCCATTCCTGAAGGAGAAATCCTGGATTCTTCCTCCATTTCTCCCTCTTCCTCATACCCACACCTATTCAACAATAAAATCCTTTCTATCTAAGCTATCAGTTACAGATCATGAGTCCATTTTCTCCTCACACACCCTTGCCACTGAATTAGTTCATTCCTTTACCATTTCGCCGTGGCCATAGCATCCCAACTCTCTCCTCTTTCTTCCTTCCTTCCTTTCTTTCTTCCTTCCTTCCATCCTTCTTTCCCTCCCTCCCTCCCTCCCTCCCTTCCTTCCTTCCTTCTTTTCTTCCTTCCTTTCTTTTTTTCTTTCTTTCTTTTTTGAGACAGAATCTCTCTCTGTTGCCCAGGCTGCAGTGCAGTGGTGCAATCACAACTCACTGCAGCCTCAACCTCCTGGGCTCCAGTGATTCTCCCACCTCAGCCTCCCAAGTAGCTGAGACTACAGGCATGTGCCACCAGGCCTGGCTAATTTTTTAAATTTTTGTAGAGATGGGGTCTCACTATGTTGCTGAGGCTTTGAGGCTCAGCTTACTTTCAAAGTTTCCCTGTTACCAAAAGTATAATGTTCACGACCTTAGCATGGCACTATCTGAGCACAAACCGCCTCACCAGCTGTGTGTCCCCCACACCCAGTGTTCTAGTCATGCACTAAATTTTTTATTAATCTCCTACCCAAGAGGCCTTCACAACTCCATGATTTTCTACATGCTATTCTTTCTGCATGAAATGAACTTCCTCTTTTCCACTTGACACCACTCTGACTCATTCTTTGAGACTCAATGCAAACATCACCTGTTTCGTAGTTTTTCCTGATATCCCAGGCAACCCTAGATGCCTCTGTATGTAACATGTACCAACAAAAGAGTAAATATCAACTGGAATGTGAATTCCTCAAAAGTAAAGTAGAAATATTATGGGCTTGCTATTCTCCAAATGATCTCCAAAGTGCGGTATGCAATACCTGTTTGGTGTCCATGAAGAGATTCTTAAAACTTTAATTTAAAAACTGTAATTTAGGTCAGGCTTGGTGGCTCACGCCTGTAATCCTAGCAGTTTGGGGAGCCGAGGTGGGCAGATTACCTGAGGTCAGTTGGAGATCAGTTTGGCCAACATGGCAAAACCCCATCTCTGCTAAAAAACACAAAAATTAGCCAGGCGTGGTGATGCACACCTATAGTCCCAGCTACTCGGGAGGCTGAGGCAGGAGAATCGCTTGAACCCAGGAGGTGGAGATTGCAGTGAGCCGAGATTGTGCCACTGCACTCCAGCCTGGGTGGCAGAGTAAGACTCTGTCTCAAAAAACAAACAAACAAATAAACAAAAAATACTGTAATTTGTATATTTCCTCATTGCTATTAATTTTGACTTTTAAATTTTTTATAAAATGAACATAATATGTATTATGTATATAACCCTCAAAAAAGAGACATATGGCCAGGTGCAGTGGCTTATGCCTGTAATCCCAGCACTTTGGGAGGCCGAGGCAGGCAAATCACAAGGTCAGGAGTTCAAGACCAACCAGGCCAACATGGCGAAACCCCATCTCTACCTAAAATACAAAAATTAGCTAAGCATGGTGTCAGGCATCTGTAATCCCATCTACTCGGGAGGCTGAGCAGGAGAATCATTTGAACCCGGGAGGCAGACGTTTCAGTGAGCCGAGATCATGCCACTGCACTCCAGCCCGGCAACAGAACGAGACTCCATCTCAAAAAAACAAAAAGAGAGAGAGAGAGAGAGACATATACAGGGATCCATGCTCACAATATTTTAAAAAAAATTTTTCTGAGATAGGGTGTCATTTTGTCACCGAGGCCGGAGTACAGTGGTACGATCTTAGCTCACTGCAGCCTTGACTTCCTGGGCTCAAGCAATCCTCTCCCCTCAGCCTCGAAAACAGCTGAGAGTACAGACACGTGCCACCACACTTGGCTAATTTTTCTATTTTTAATAGAGACGAGGTTTCACCATGTTGTCCAGGCTGGTCTCAAACGTCTGGACTCAAGCAATCTGTCCACCTTGGCCTCCCAAAGTGCTGGGATTACAGGCGTGAGCCACCATGCCCAGCCCACAATATTTTTTTTTAACTTAAAGGAGTGCACAATAAAATTTTGGCAACTACTAGTCTTGATTTACTTAGTATCACATTACCCAGATGCAGCAGATAAAATGCTTTATCTCCAAATAACCAATACCTAGAACAGTTTTCCATACTTGGCGATGCTCTGTGAACATTAAATGAGTAAATAAGGAGATAAAGAATACAGACTTAATGTGCAGGTTGTCATGGAAGAAACAAAACAGTGTTTTAATTGAAATGGGCTTGAGTTAGAATCCTGCATTTCACATTTCACTGGGTTGTGTCTTTGGGTGAGTCACCCACTTCTTTGAACATCAATTTCCTCATCTGTAAAATGAAAATAATGCAGCAAGGTGGTTGTGAGAATTAAAAGACATAATGAATGCAAGCTGCTTAGCATAATGCCCCTCTGCAGTGAGTACCCAGTAAACTGATGCTTCATTTGCAGTGCTAGATGGCAGTTAGTCCAAACCAGAAGGCCATAGTACTTGATAAGTCTGCTCTCATTTCTACCAAAATCATTTTGTTTTACAGTCATTCAAAGAAAGGGCCTGTGTCCTTAAACATCAGTGAATTACATGGGTAAAATATGGGTGATTTTTAAAGCCAGAGAAAAATTTTAGGAGGTCGTGGTCATTCATGTGCTTCTTCATTCTGCCACGTTGCAAGAAAGGATTGCTAGTTATTCCCAGAATTATTTCAAAACACCTCAGAATAGAAACAAAACAAAGTCACTGTTCTTTAGGGCTTATACTTTTCATGTCCCTGACTGTAATAGGCTGAGCTCACCATGCTGAAAGATGTCATTGCTCCTGAGTGACTTACAGGTGGGAGGGAAGTGGTCCACCTTGTCCAGCCATCAAGGGAGGGGAATGCTCTGTGAGGTCATGATCTTCTAAGACCTGTTAGAGCAAGGGTAGATCCAAAAACTTCACAATATCAGGGAGGCTTGGAAAAAGAAAAATTATATTTGGCTGGCAAATTCCGAATTGAGAAAAGAGCAACTGGGGGACTCATTTAATCAAGTGTTACCCTATGAGGCTCCTGTTGTGGCTGGAATTATATCCCCCCAAAATTCATATATTTAAATCCTAACCCCCATTACCTCAGAATGTGACTATTTGAAGATAAGGCTTTTAAAGAGGTAACTAAGGTAAAATGAGGTTGAAATGATTTGGCTGTGTCCCCACCCACATCTCATCTTGAATTGTAGCTCCCACAGTTCCCATGTTGTGGGAAGGACCCGGTGGGAGGTAATTGAATCATGGGGGCAGGACTTTCCCATACTGTTCTCATGATAGTGAATAAATCTCACAAGATCTGATGGTTTTACAAAGGGGAGTTCCCCTCTACATGGTCTATCTTGCCTGCCGCCATGTAAGACATGCCTTTCTCATCCTTGGCCTTCCACCATGATTGTGAGGGCTCCCCAGCCATGTGGAATTGTGAGTCCATTAAACCTCTTTTTCTTTATAAATTACCCAGTCTCAGGTATGTCTTTATTAGCAGCATGAGAGGTGACAAATACAGAGATCGCCAGGGTGGGCCCTAACATTCTGACCGGTGTCCTTATAAGAAGAGGCGACTAGGACACAGACATACAGAGAGAAGACCATGTAAAGGCAGGGGGAGAAGATGGCCACCTACAAGCCAAGACAAGAGGCCTCAGAAATCAACCCTGGTGATGTCTTAATCTTGGACTTCCAGACTTCAGAACTGTGAGGAAATATATTTCTGTTGTTGAAGCCACCCAGTCTGTGATACTGTGTTACAGCAGCCCTAACAGATTAACACAATTCCTATAGGATTGAATTTTCCCAGGCCCTCCCCAGATTTAATGCGAGGTTGTATTGTGGGGGCCTGGGGCTTCCTAAGAAGATTCCGAGTTGCTTAAGGAATGTTGAGTCCCAATTAGAGTAAGACAGGAAAGACAGGCAAGACCGAAAGGTGAGTGAATTCAGACTACACAGGGAACGAAGGAGTAGGAGCAAGTGAGGGGTGGGTACAGGTCTGCCTCTGTGGACTCTTCCTGAGTTAATGAAGAAACAGCCACACTGAATGCCCTCTGAGCCTCTGATTCACACATCAGTGCTGAATTTAGGTAGCCCCTCTTCTGGGAAGTCCTTCTTGATCCCCCAGTGCAGAAAAGCTTAGGTTTTAAACTTTCCACTTCTGAGGTAGTACCATCTGGGATCTGCTTCCCCATTCTGTCTTCCAAGGGACTGCTCTTGGACACCACACTGGCAGTGGTGTTTATTTATTTATTTATTTATTTATTTATTTATTTATTTAGAGATGGAGTCTCGCTCTGTCACCCAAGCTGGAGTGCAATGGCACAATCTCAGCTCACTGCAACCTCCACCTCCTGGGTTCAAGAGATACTCCTATCTCAGCCTCCCGAGTAGCTGAGACTACAGGCACCTGCCACCATGACTGGCTAATTTTTTTTGTATTTTAGTAGAGACAGGGTTTCATCATGTTGCCCAGGCTGGTCTTGAACTCCTGAGCTCAGGCAATCCGCCTGCCTCGGCCTCCCAAAGTGCTGGGATTACAGGCATGAGCCACCGCACTCGGCTGGCAGTGGTGTTCACAAAAGGCTTTTCAGCCTACTCATAAACTTCTCCCTTCCACGTTCTTTGATTTCGTTAATGGCACCACTCAGAGCAGAAACCTTGGGGTCATGCTTGATTCCTCATTCTCCTTCTTCCTGGAATCACAAGTATTGACCATGTCACCTCAGATTAAAATTTTAAAAACCAAAGTAATGTTGGGAATTCTGAAATTTGAGTAGTTTAAAGGAATGTTGGATGTTCCTTCAGACAAAAAAAAAAAAAGAAAGAAAGAAAAAAAGAAATACATTTTAAATTCTAATACAGTCTACACTTTCACTGTAAGTGCTTTTTCAGAGATGTAAATCTGCTCCTGTGACTTAACCCTCAAGTGGCTTCAGTGACTTTCCTCCCCTGCACCAAGGTTGCAAACTGGTGGCCCTTGGGTCAAATGTGGACCACAGACACATCTTGCTTTGCCTCCACAATGATTAGTTTAAAAAGAAAATGAGGCTAGTCATGATAGCTCATGCCTGTAATCCTACCACTTTGTGGGGCAGAGATGGAAGGATCACTTGAGGCCAAGAGTTCAAAACCAGGCTAGGCAACATAGCAAGACTTCGTCTCTACAGAAAAGAAAAAAAGAGAACTAATTTCTGGCCAATGTTTAAAAATCTTGTTTTTCTTTTCTTTTTTTTTTTTTGAGATGGAGTCTCCCTCTGTCAACCAGGTGGGAGTGCAGTGGCTCGATGTCAACTCACTGCAATCCTTCGCCTCCCAGGTTCAAGTGATGCTCCTGACTCATCCTTCCAAGTAGCTGCGATTACAGGTGTGCACCACCATGCCTAGCTAATTTTTGTATTTTTAGTAGAGATGGGGTTTCGCATGTTGGCCAAGCTGGTCTTGAACTCCTGACCTCAGGTGATCCGCCCACTTCAGCCTTCCAAAGTACTGAGATTACAGGTATGAGCCACCATGCCCAGCCTTTTGTTTTGTTTTGTTTTGTTTTTAAACAGGGTCTTACTCTATCGTCCAGACTGGAGTGCAGTGGCACGATCACCGCTCACTGCAGCCTCGACCTCCTAGGCTCAAGAGATCCTCCTACTTGAGATCCCAGTGCTCCCAAGTAGCTGGGTCTATTAGTGTGCACCACCATATGCAGCAATCTTTTTTAAATTTTTTTGAGGAGACAGGGTTTCCACATGTTGCCCAGGGTGGTCTTGTACTCCTGGGCTTAAGTGATCCTCCCGCCTCAGCCTCCCAAAGTGCTTGGATTATAGGTGTGAGCCAATACACCTGGCCTGTTTAAAAATCTTGACACATCACTCACACACAAGTCCATATTTTTTTCTTTAGAAACTGAAAATCTGACAATATTAGGCCTGTATTCCCACAAGGCCACAGTTGGCCAGAGCTGCCTTTTTTTTTTTTTAATTGTACTTTTTTTTAATATAAAGACAGGGTCTTGCTATGTTGGCCAGGTCGGTCTTGAACTCCCAGCCTCAAGCAATCCCCTGCCTCAGCCTCACAATAAATAATTATTTTTAATGGCAAAAACCATGATTACTTTCGCACCAACCTAACAAGATTACAAGCACGAGCCACCGTGCCCGACCCAGACCTGCCTTTTTAGATGGGACCTGTTTCTCCAGTTTAGGACATCCCCATCATGTCCTACTGTCCAGCCACTGTCCAACTGAGTGTCAGTTGACATTTAGCGTCACTTTTTTTTGTTTTATTTTGAGATAGAGTTTCCCTCTTGTTGCCCAGGCTGGAGTGCAATGGCGCAATTTCGGCTCACTGCAACCTCTGCCTCCTGGGTTCAAGCGATTCTCCTGCCTCAGCCTCCAGAGTAGCTGGAATTGCAGGTGCCCACCACCACACCCAGCTAATTTTCATATTTTTAATAGAGATGGGGTTTCACCATGTTAGCCAGGCTGGTCTCGAACTCCTGACCTCAGGTGATCCACTGCCTCGGCCTCCCAAAGTGCTGGGATTACAGGCGTGGGCCACCATGCCCGGCCTAGCGTCACTTTTGTGGAGTTGTTTTCTTAGAGTTGAGAGGAAAGTGAAATAATCTTACACCTACATTTCCATTAAAATGGGGACAGCAAAAGATAGACTTGAAATGGTAATGTATTAAAAAAAAAGAAAAATACAGATTTCTCTGAGGAGTAAAGACCACTCCAACTTATTAATAAGTACACAAGGTGTGTCCAGTCAATTTAACACCATTTTCTAGTAATCTGCTTGTTTCATTCATTTATCATCTAATCCTGGCCGCTGAAGACTCCTTGAGTTTTTTATCCTGACCTAAAGCATTAAGCCATAATCCCTTAACATGTCACAAAGCACCTTTCACTCTAATCAGCTGTTGTTTTGTTTTGTCTTATCTTGTCTCTAAACCATCACTGATCCCTTTCATTCATTCTAACCAAACAATCACTATGAACTATAGTAATAGTAGCTACAACTATTGAGTGCTTTCTGTCTACTAAAAATGATGCATTTCCCCATGCCGTGTGTTTACTACCCACTAAAGCATCTCACCAGCAGGAGGAGAGGTCTACAAAATCTCATGTGAAGCTTAAGAAAAATGTTCAGGGCTGGGTGCGGTGGCTCATGCCTGTAATCCCAGCACTTTGGGAGGCCGAGGTGGGCAGATTGCCTGAAGTCAGGGGTTCAAGACCAGCCTGGCCAACGTGGTGAAAACCCACCTCTACTAAAAATACAAAAATTAGCCAGGCGTGGTGGCAAGCTCTTGTAATCCCAGCTACTCAGGAGGCTGAGGAGAGAGAATTGTTTGAACCCAGGAGATGGAGGTTGCAGTGAGCCAAGATCGCGCCACTGCACTCCAGCCTGGGCGACAGAGCGAGACTCAGTCTCAAAAAGAAAACAAACAAACAAAAACAACAAAGAAAAATGCTTAATGTACACTTAGAACTTTGTACTTAACAGTTTTCTAAGCTCTTTCTACAATACCTCTAAAAGACATGTTCTGTCCATCCTATGCTATAGTTGAGGGCACTCAGGCCCAGAAGAGTTAAGGAATTACTGAGGTCACATGGTTAGAGAGAGGCTCAGCCAGCAATTGAATTGAAGCTTATCTTAATATCAATGATCTTGACCTCAGTTCCTCTCTAACGTGTTGCTTAGTCCTCAGTGCTCTTCTCTGCCACTATCTGCATTAAACTTTTACCAGTTCTCAGTGACTCAGCTCAAATATGTCCTCCTACATAAAGTCTTCCCCGATTCACCCTCCACTTCTTCAAACGTAACATTCATCCCACAAATATTTTTGAGTTCCTCTGCGAGATAATATATGTAAAGAGCTTAGAGCATAGTAAGGGGAGGGAAAATCAGGTATAATTCCTATTACCTGTTAACACTGTATTGTAATTATTTCACCATGAATGGCACGCAGAGTCTGGAAGGAAAGAAGTGTGATCAAAGAATGCTGGACCTATTCATACTTAGGTCTCAACTACAATAACAGAGAGACGGGCTCTCCAAAACAAAGAGTTTATTGCAAGGAATTGCAATTCATGATACTTGTGCCATGGCAGAGCCATATGGGTCCACCAAAAGAGACTGGGGCAAAGGAAAGCTTTTTTAAAAAAAAAAAGACAAATCCAGGTAATTTGCTTTCAAAGACCATTGGTCACAGGGGCTTGTTGCAGGAGTTGGTATTAACTTATTGATGGATACACCCATTGTTAGGAAAATGTCTTTGTGCAGCAACTTGTTTGCAATGTTGTGGTTTTGAGGAGTTCTTTGGATATCTCTGTCATAGGTATACGTGCATGAGGGCCCTTCCTTTATGGCCTCCTGGCTCCATCTTTTTCGTGTTTTACATAAGTGACTTCATTTAGGTACTGGCAACTTTCACAAAGGACAATAGAAAGTTATTTTGCAAGCTGTATGAAAATAAACCAAAACCTCTTTTAGCAGAGTATCAGAGGGTTTTATCTAGAAATATGGAAGTCTGAATGAATATATTAAAATATTTGAATAGGGTAATGACCTAGAAAAGAGCCTGGAGAGACAATTGAAATTAGAATAGGATAAGAAATGAGCAATAAATAAGAACCCAAGAGAGGGCTAAATAAATAAGTTGTCTTGAGAGGGAGCCTTATAGAAGCAGAGTGTTCTGGAAAATGCCAAGCGCAAAGATTTTGAAATTACAATGAACTCTGTTTTACACTTTTATGAACTGAAGATTTTAAAAAATCTTATTGCTGCTGGGCAAGGTGGCTTATGCCTGTAATCCCAGCACTTTGGGAGGCCGAGGTGGGTGGATCACTGTGGATCACTGATCACAGATGGAGTTCAAGACCAGCCTAGCCAACATGATGAAACCATGTCTTTACTAAAACTACAAAAATTAGCCAGGCACAGTGCCAGGCACCTGTAATCCCAGCTACTCGGGAGGCTGAAGTAGGAGAATTGCTTGAACCCGGGAGGCGGAGGTTGCAGTTAACAGAGATCGCACCACTGCACTCGAGCCTAGGCAACGGAGTGAGATCCTGTGTCAAAAAAAAAAAAAAAAAAAAACTTATTGCATTGGACGTTGTAGGAATTCAGCTACATGCGAGAAGCCATGTGAACGCCTGATTCTTTGCCTGTCATTTGGTAGGCTCATTCACAGTGTTAGTTCCTCCCCACCAACCCTTCTCTCCTAAATGCTGGTATTCAGCCTATTTTATTTATTTATTTTTGGTAATAGTTTTATTGAGATATAATTGACATACAACTCACCCATTTGAAACATACAATTCAATGGTTTTTAAGATATTCACAGAGTTGTCAATATTAGAACATTTCCATCACCTCAAAAAGAAATCACTTACCACTTACCTATGATCCTGACACCCTATGCTTTCTAGCCTTAGGCAATCACAAACCTAATTTCTATCTCTATAGATATGCCTATTCTGGACATTTTATATAGATAGAATCATATAATATTAGGATTTTTGTGACTGGCTTCTTGTATGTAGCATAATGTTTTCAAGGTTCATCCATGCTGTGGTATGTATCAGTAATTCTCTACAAAAAATAAAAAGAAAACTTTGCTTTTTCTGGTCAAATAATATTCCATTGTATGGCTATCTTATATTTTGTTTATTCATTATTTGATAAATATTTTGGGTGCTTCCACCTTTTGACTATTATGAATAATGCTGCTCTGAAAGAACATTCACATACACATTTTTGTTGAATACCTCTTTTCACTTCTCTTGGGTGTATTCCCAATAATAGTGGAATTATTGGGTCAAGCCAGCCTGTTGTTTAAAAATCCCTTCTTCACTATGCAGTCTAGACTGCCATTGTTTGAAAATGCAAAACTTTTCTTGCCCCTCAGAGGCCAAATTCCTCAGTAGCTCCTCATTATCTAAAGAATTAACTCCACATTCCTTAAAATTAAAATGATCCAGAAAAGTCTTCCAGATTTGGCTCCTGGCCCACTGTCTATCTTATTTTCTGCTAATTTGACTCCTACACCCAACACCCAAGAGAAATTGAAATCTCCAAGCACAAGCAAAATCTGTAGCCGGACTTGGAACTGTATGCCCATTTCTGCCTCTTACCATTTTACCTCCCAATTTTCTAAACTATATTATAGAGCTAATAATACCCACCCTAACTTCTGTCCTTGAGCTTCCTCACCTGTACCATCCTTATCTATATTATATGATAATAAAACCTACATTGCAGAGTTGCTGATAAGGTTAAATTAGGCACAGCATATAAAAGGTCTGGTGCATTGTCCATATTCAATAGATATTATTATTATTGTTATTGTTATGCCTCCATATGTTTGCAAGTGCTGTTTTTCCAATTAGAAATTGGAATGCCTTCCCACCTTTTCTGCAAATTAAATTTCTTCAAGTCTCAGCTCGAATGTCACCTACCCTATATCAGAAATTGTGTGTGTGTGTGTTTTGGGTTTTGTTTTTTGTTTTTAATTTAGCGAGACTTACTATGTTCCTGGTGCTAGCCTAAGCACTTTCAAAAATATTAGTTTATTTATTTCTCATGACAACCCTATGGGCTAGGTATTGTTATTGTTTTTATAAATGATAGAAGGATATGTATTTTGCCCAGATCACCCAGCTAGTAAGTGGCAGATGCAGTCTTGTTAGCAGGAAGAACTTATGAGAGGTACCTTTCCTCCATCTTTTAAAAAACATTTTATTTAATAATCTTATGCCATTTAGGCCAGGTGTGGTGGCTCATGCCTGCAATTCCAGCACTTTGGGAGGCTGAGGCAGGAGGATTGCTTGAACTCAGGAGGTAGAAGTTGCAGTGAGCCAAGATTGTGCTGCTGCACTCCAGCCTGGGTGACAGAGCAAGACTCCATCTCAAAAAAAAAAGAGAGTCGTTTCTTGAAGCAGACTACCTGTATCCTCATCTCAAATCCTCTCCTTACCCCAACTCCATGAGCATAGGAAGACGCCCATGCCTTACCCTTTCACTGCTCTTTGTGTGTAAACTGGGACCACTAACAGAACCTAGACCATGAGGCTGTTGTGACACTTAAGTAAGATAATGTATGCAAGGCACTAAACACAATTCTGGGAATAGTAAACTATTGTTTTTGTGGTTGTTCAAAGAAACACTAACAGGAAGTGGAGCCATTCAAATAAAGTCTGGTGCAAAGATCAGCCTTTGCACATACATCTCTGACAAGGGATTTCTGAGCCAGAGACTATTCGTTCTTCAAATCTCACCTCCCCTGGGAGCCTTACCAAAAATTCTCAGCCTGTTGCACACCCCTTCTCTGCCATCAAGTAACCTCCACACAATACACCCTTCAAAGCCCTTGCTTCACTGTGCTGTAATCATTAGATTAACTGTCCATTTCTTCCACTGGCCTATGCGTCTTTGAGAGTATATTCAACATCTCACCCAGTGTCTGGCCTAAATGCATGAATGAATGGGTATATGAATAAATGAGTGAATGAAATGGCAGTGTGAAGGGGAAAGATCATAAAAGTATCATCTTGTTCATCTGGTTTAAGACCAGTTCTAGTAGCGCAAAAAGACTTGTGAGCCAGGTGCAGTGGCTCATGCCTCTAATCTCAGCACTTTGAAGGCCAAGGCAGGAGGATCACTTGAGTCCAGGAGTTCCAGACCAGCCTGGCCAACATGGCGAAACCCCACTTCTACTGAAAATATAAAAATTAACTGGGCATGGTGGTGCATGCCTGCAGTCCCAGCTACTTTGGGAGGCTGAGGCAGGAGAATTGTTTGAACCCAGGAGACAGAGGTTGCAGTGAGCCAAGATCATGCCCCTGCACTCCAGCCTGGGTGACAGAGAGAGACTCGATCTCAAAAGAAAAAAAAAAATTTAGCTGGACATGGTGTCTCATGCCTGTGATCCCACCTACTTGGGAGGCTGAGGTGGGAGGATGGCTTTAATACAGACAGGAGGCAGGGAAATACTGGGTAGAAGAGAGCAGTTCCCCAGCAAAAGTTCCACCCTCAAGCCTGGAAACCTGCAGCCCTAAATGGGAACAGGCATTCCTGTTTTCACGCCCAAATGTTGCCTTTTCAGAGACCACTCTCACCTGTCACACCCCTATCCTGTGCCCATATAAACCCAAGATCCACTGGTAGAGCAGCAGGGCCATGCAGAAGAGAAGAGAAGAGGAGAGAAGAGAAGAGAAGAAGCAACTAAATGTTGAGAGGAGTTCAGCTGGGGACAGTCGGAGAGATCAGTTGTGGGAGGGCCAAACTCCAGGGAAGAATATTTTCCCACTCCATCCCCTGTCTGCTGAGGGCCACCTCCATCACTCAATAAAATCCCTGCATTCACCATCCTTTAAGTCTATGTAACCTGATTCTTCCTGGACACCGGACAAGAACCCAGGTACCAAGAGGGCAGGGTGTAAAAGGCTGTCACCCTGACTCTCCTCTGATCTGGTTAACATTTAGCCATCCACAGACAGCAAAGCTAAAAGAGCATTTTAACACTCCTAGACAGTGCTGTGAGGCCAGAGCCCAAAAGCACTTGCCCCGGCTCACCTGCATGCTACCGCTCCCATAAGGGGTTTGAGTGCACAGCAGCGAGTAAATGAGCCATCCCCTTCACAAGGGTCCTGTGAAGGGATCAAAGGAATTCTCCCATCTCAGCTTGAGCCTAGGTTGTTGAGGCTGCAGTGAGCCATGATCATGCCACTGCACTCCAGCTTGTGTGACAGCATGAGACCCTGTCTCTAAAAAA
Source organism: Homo sapiens (assembly GCF_000001405.40). Classification (NCBI taxonomy): domain Eukaryota; kingdom Metazoa; phylum Chordata; class Mammalia; order Primates; family Hominidae; genus Homo; species Homo sapiens. Next base: position 110,219,967 of record NC_000004.12, on the reverse strand, counting down.
AAGAAGAAAAAAAAAAGACATGTGAATCTTCATGTATTCTGCATTACCAGCCTTGTAGTTTGTAAAAGGCAGTTGTCCAAAGAAGAACCATGAAGAGTTTAAACCTAATAGCTATGGATACACGTGGCAAAACTTCACTTAAGAAATAAGGTCACATTTTTGTTTCCCACACTACACATTTTTAAAAAGCAATAACAATGCAGGGGAAATTTATGTAATATAATACAAGTTGTCATTTCACAATATCAGCCATTTCACATCACACACCTCTATTTGTGATTAAATTAATCTATTTTTCTTCTCTCTCTCAACATGGCAGATCTTTGATGGAAAGGTCTAGGAAGTGGTTGTGGTTAAACTAAAGGAGAAGATAGAGTAACAGAAAAAGAGAGAGAGAGAGAGGCAAACCAAAATGTTCCCTCAGGAACCTGAGGCTATCCCTGTCTGCAGCTCAGGCTTAGGCAATTATATGGTTTGGCTGGGTCCCCACCAAAATCTTAACTTGAATTGTATCTTCCAGATCTCCCATGTGTTGTGGGAGAGACCCAGGGGGAGGTAATTGAATCATGGAGGCCAGTCTTTCCCATGCTATTCTCATGATAGTGAATAAGTCTCATGAGATCTGATGGGTTTATCAGGGATTTCCACTTTTGCTTCTTCCTCATTTTCTCTTGCTGCTGCCATGTAAGAAGAGCCTTTCGCCTCCTGCCATGATTCTGAGGCCTCCCCAGCCATGTGCAACTGTAAGTCCAGTTAAACCTTTTTTTTGTTCCCAGCTTCAGGTGTGTCCTTAGCAGCAGCATGAAAACAAACTAATACAGCAAATTGGTACCAGGAGTGGGGCATTGCTGAAAAGATACCTGAAAATGTGGAAGCAACTTTGGAACTGGATAACAGGCAGAGATTGGAACAGTTTGCAAGGCTCAGAAGAAGAAAGGAAAATGTGGGAAGTTCCTTGAGACTTGTTGAATGGCTTTGCCCAAAATGCTGATAGCTATATGGACAATAAGGTCCAGGCTGAGATCTCAGATGCAGATGAGGAGCTTGTTGGCAACTGGAGTAAAAGTGACTCTTGTTATGTTTTAGCAAAGAGACTGGTAGCATTTTGCCCCTGCCCTAGAGATTTGTGGAACTTTGAACTTGAGAGAGATGATTTAGGGTATCTGATGGAAGAAATTTCTAAGCAGCAAAGCATTCAAGATGTAATTTGGGTGCTGTTAAAGGCATTCAGTTTTATCAGGGAAGCAGAGCATAAAAGTTTGGAAAATTTGCAGCATGACTCTGTGATAGCAAAGAAAACCCCATTTTCTGGGGAGAAATTCAAGCCAGCTGCAGAAATTTGCATAAGTAGCAAGTAGCCTAATGTCAATCCCCAAGACCATGGGGAAAATGTCTCCAGGCCATGTCAGAGAACTTCCTGGCAGCCCCTCCCATCACAGACCTGGAGGTTCAGGAGGAAAAGTGGTTTCATGGGCTGGGACCAGAGTCCCCATGCTGTGTGCAGCCTAGGAACTTGATGCCCTGTACCCAGCCACTCCAGCTATGGCTGAAAAAGGCCAACATATAGCTTGGGCTGTGGCTTCAGAGGGTGGAAGCACCAAGGCCTGGCAGTGTCCATGTGGTGTTGAGTGTGCAGGTGCACAGAAGTCAAGAATTCAGGTTTGGGAGCCTCCACCTAGATTTCAGAAGATGTATGGAAATACCTGGATGCCCAGGCATAAGTTTGCTGCAGGGGCAGAGCCCTCATGAAGAACCTCTGCTAGGGCAGTGTGGAAGGGAAATGTGGGGTTGGAGCCCCCACAAAGAGTCCCTACTGGGCACCACCTAGTAGAGCTATGACAAGAGGGCCTCCATCCTCCAGACCCCAGAATGGCAGATTCACTGACAGCTTGCACTGTGTGCCTAGAAAAGCTGCAGAGACTCAACGACAGCCCATAAAAGCAGCTGGGAGGGAAGCTCTACCCTGCAAAGCCACAGGGGCAGAACTGCCCAAGACCATGGGAACCCACCTCTTGAATCAACGTGACCTGGATGTGAGACCTGGAGTCGAAGGAGATCATCTTGGAGCTTTAAAATTTGACTGCCTCGCTGGATTTTAGACTTTCATGGGCCCTGTAACCCCTTTGTTTTGGCCAATTTCTCCCATTTGGAATGGCTGTATTTACCCCATACCTGTACCCCCATTGTATCTAGGAAGTAACTAGCTTGCTTTTGATTTTACAGGCTCATAGACTGAAGGGACTTGCCTTGTCTCAGATGAGACTTTGGACTGTGGGCATTTGGGTTAATGCTGAAATGAGTTAAGACTGGAGGACTGTTGGGAAGGCATCATTGGTTTAGAAATGTGAGGACATGAGATTTGGGGGAGCCAGGGGAGAAATGATATGGTTTGGCTCTATCACCTCCGAAATCTCAACCTGAATTGTATCTCCCAGAATTCCCACGTGTGTAGGAGGGACCCTGGAGCAGGTAATTGAATGATGGCGGCCAGTCTGTCCCATGCTATTCTTGTGATAGTGAATAAGTCTCACAAGATCTGATGGGTTTATCAGGGGTTCCCACTTTTGCTTCTTCCTCATTTTCTTTTGCTGCTGCCATGTAGGAAGAGCTTTTCACCTCCCACCATGATTTTGAGGCCTCCCCCAGCTGTGTGGAACTGTAAGTCCAATTAAACCTTTTTTTGTTCCCAGTTTTGGGTATGTCTTTATCAGCAGCATGAAAATAAACTAATACGGGACAGTTCTGGCTGCTACTCCATGGAATCTGCTAGACCCTCTTTCACTCTTTCTGACATTGGTAGTGAAAGGACTTTTCCAGCCACCTAGAGATTTATGACAATAACTTCATATTCAGGTGCACTGGAGAGAGAATTTTAGGAGGAGTTGAAGGTATAGCTCTTAACTGGCAGTTCAGAATTTGATGACACATATTTTAAAGAAGTCTCTTTTGCATTTGGCAACAACATGTGTCTTTTGTTGCGTCTCACAGTTGAGAATTCTTTGACCTTCACTTTTTCTGTAATCTCCACACCTTATCCCTCCTCCATTAGCAAAGCTCTCCCAAGTCTAAGAAACCCTGAGTGATCCCAAGAGAAACAATGGAATGCCTTTAGGTGACTTGAAAAAGAGGGAATCATTTAACTTAACTTCCAGCTCCTCAGAGACATAGACAGGCTATTAGAAATAAGTACCAAGTGAATAATGGCTCTATGTCTAAATAGAAATGAACTGCCTATCATCTATGGATCACCAGGGTCAGACCATCTTGTGCTTCTCGCTGAAGAATAGCCCTGAAGATAGTGAAAGTTCATTGAATTGGTTTATGATGTAACCCTAAGGAATATTTTGATTGGGTCTGCTTGGGTCTTGTGCCCACCTCTAGAACAATAACTGGGTTCAGGGATGGGGTGCTTAGATTGCCCCACCTGGGTCAAATGCCCACTCCATACCTGTGGTTAAGGAGAAGAGAGAGAGAAAGACAGAGAGAAAGAAAGGCAGCCCCATGACTGGTAGGGTATACTTGCAATAAAGGGGTTTCCCACATTTCCCCAAAGGAGCAGTGGGATGCAGTTGAAACTGTCCCTATGAACTTTATAAATTAGTCAGGGAAAAAGGGAAGGAGAGAAAGGAAAGTAAACTCAGCTTGCAGCATACTCAGCATTAATCATGAGGCAGCTCACTCTGTGACCCGCTTCCTCGTAGCTGTTTGCTGCCAGTTGCCTCAGAATCACAGACCATCACAAGATTATAGCTCCCCCAACTGCTATACGGGTAACAAATTGAACGTTACAAAATACTAAGTTTTCCAGGCCGGGTGCGGTGGCTCATGCCTATAATCCCAGCACTTTGGGAGGCCAAGGCAGGAGCATCACAAGGTCAGGAGTTCAAGACCAGCCTGGCCAATATGGTGAAACCCCATCTCTACTGAAAATACAAAAATTAGCCAGGTGTGGTGGCGGGCACCTGTAGTCCCAGCTACTTGGGAGGCTGAGGCAGGAGAATCATTTGAACCTGGGAGGTGGAGGTTGCAGTGAGCCAAGATCGTGCCACTGCACTCCAGCCTAGGAGACAAAGGGACACTCTGTCTCAAAAATAAAAACGAAAAAAAAAAAGAAAAAAGAAAAAAATATTAAGTTTTCCAATTGAGATATTCTTTCAGGTCCTACATACTGATATAACTGCTGACGTCAACTGGTGTGAGGGACCCCACAAAGACCTGACTCACCAAAGAATGCAGTTTTGATATCCTGATTATTTCATCCCTCTTATCCCAACCAATCAATGACCCCAATTCTCCAACCCTTCGCCCTCTACGATCCCCTTAAAAACTCCAGCCCAGAACTCCTCGGGGAGATACATGTGAGGATCCCCTCCCATCTCCTTGCTCGGTGACTTGTGATCATTAAATTCTATTTTTTGCTGCAACCCCTGCTGTCTCAGTGTACTGGTGTGTCCTGCACAGTGGGCATATGAACCCGTTGGTCCTATAACACAGTTACCAGAAGAGGAAAGGCAAAAACAACAAATGTCCACTTTGATATAGCAAGAAATAAGATTATAAGCTCTGCTTTTCCATTTTTTTTTTCCCTACTGATGTTGCAAACTAAATCCCTTATGTCACTAATTTGCTTATCTCCCCATATCTCTTCTTTTGCTTTGGAAAATTTTTCTTTCACTGTCATTTCAAGTCTCCTCTCAAACCCTAACATTTAATCTAAATCTCTTTACATCTAATCTCTTGCCTGTTATTTTATCTCCAGTAATCCCATTTTTTTTTCTTCCTCCACATCCTGAGTGAAACTCCAATTTTGAAAACTCAAAGTGATGAGAAAGTGGCCTCAAATACATGACAGTTTATAAATCATCAGACTTTATAACAGATATCTCTTCCAAAGCTCTTTCTCAAGATACTTAAGTAAGTATAAGAGATCTCCACATAACCTAATTGAGAAAGACTCTGGCTAGTTGACCTGGCTGAGAAGAATCTACTGCCTGAGAGCCTATCACACTCAAAGAACATGAACCAGAGATGGTCAGGCTGGGGGTGGCATGCAGTTTGTAAAGTAGCCAGTTTGTCAAAGTTCTCTTTTCCCTTTCTCATTTGCCTGCTTAGAGCCATAAAACTTTCTCAGCACCATAAGACAGAGCAAAAAATTAAAAGAAAAAAAAACGATAAAACTTTCAAGCTGGAGGAGACTTTACTGACTATATTATCCAATCTCTTCATTTCATAATAGGGAAACTGAGGCCCAGAAAGGTGAAGGGATTTGTCCAAGTGTGACAGTTAATTTTATATTTCAATTTAACTTGGCTACAGGATGCCCAGATAAGGTTAAACATTATTTCTAGCTGTATCTGTGAGGTGTTTCTGGAAGAGACTAGCATTTGAATTGGTGAACTGAGTAAAGTAGATGGCCTCCTGCCATGTAGGTGGACATCATCCAATCCATTAAGGGGCCAAGTAGAACAAAAAAGTGAAATTCACTCTCTGTCTGGATGCTTGTGTTAGAAAATTGATTTTCTCCCACCATTGGCATCCTTGGCTCTCAGGCCTTCAGACCAAGACTGAATTTGCTGAATTTACCCCGTTAGCTCTCTATTTCTTTTTTTTTTTTTTTTTTTTTTTGAGACAGAGTCTTGCTTTGTCACCCAGGATGGAGTGCTGGAGTGCAGTGGTGCAATCTTGGCTCACCGCAACCTCCGCCTCCCGAGTTCAAGCGATTCTCCTGCCTCAGCCTCCCGAGTAGCTGGGACTACAGGCGCATGTCACCACGCCTGGTTAATTCTTGAATTTTTAGTACAGACAGTTTCACTATGTTGGCCAGGCTGGTCTTGAACTCTTGACCTCAGTTAATCCATCTGCCTTGGCCTCCCAGAGTGCTGGGAGGTGTAAGTTACCACACCTGGCCAACTCTCTAGATCTTGGGCCTTCAAACTACACCACTGTCTTTCCTGGGTCTCCAGCTTGTAGATGGTAGATCATGGGGCCTCTCAGTCTCTACCATCATGTAAGCCAATACCTTACAATAAATCTCTCTCTCTCTCTCTTTTTTTTTTTTTTTTTGAGACACAGTTTCACTCTGTCGCCCAGGCTGGAGTGCAATGGCACAATCTCGGCTCACTGCAGCCCTCTGCCTCCCAAGCTCAAGCAATTCTCATGCCTCAGCCTCCCCAGTAGCTGAGATTACAGGCACATGCCACCATGCCCAGCTAATTTTTGTATTTTTAGCAGAGACGGGGTTTCACCACGTCGGCCAGGCTGGTCTTGAACTCCTGACCTCAGGTGATCCACCTGCCTCGGCCGCCCAAAGTGCTGGAATTACAGGTGTGAGCCACCACGCCTGGCATGAATCTCTTTATATATCACACTGGTTCTCTTTCTCTGGAGAACCCCAACTAATATACCAGGATTCCCCAGCAAGTTAATGGCAGGACTGGGAAAGAACTCAGGCCTTCTGACAGGAGGCCTAGTACTCTTTCCACTGCCACACTTTTCTTTTTCAAGGTATTTGTCTTCTGGGACTAGTGTGGTGGCTCACGTCTGTAATCCCAGCAATTTAGGAGGCTTAGATGGGTGGATTGCTTGACCCCAGGAGTTCGACACCAGCCTGGGCAACATGATGAAACCCAGCCTCTACAAAAAAAAAAAAAAAAAAAAAAAAAAAAAAGGCAAAAATTAGCTGGGCATGGTGGTGCATGCCTGTAGTCCCAGCTACTCAGGAGGCTGACGTGGGAGAATTGCTTGGGCCCAGAAGGTGGAGGTTGCAGTGAGCTGAGATTGCACCACCGCACTCCAGTCTGGGTGACAGAGCAGCACACTGTCTCAACAACAATAAAAAGATATTCGTCTTCTAACAGGCAGCTATAATGACTCCTTCCAAGTCTTGCTTTGTATGCATTTGAGACTAGTAAGCCTTCTTCACTCCGTCCTTCTCTTCCTTCTTTCCCTTCTTCCATTCGTTTTCTACCTTGTTATATATAAAGTATAAAATTCAACAAAATAATTAATACAAGATAGGAAGGACCGAGGTGGGAAGATAACTTGAGGTCAGGAGTTTGGGGCTGCAGTAAGCCACGATTGTGCCAGCGCACTCCAGCCTGGGTGACAGAGTGAGAACCCAACTCAAAAAATTAACTAATTAAAAAATAAGGTAACAGTATAAGAAGAAGGGCAATGAGGTTAAAAATATGTATTATATAAAGGTAAACACTTGCCACAAGGACAAGTCACAGATTTGCCTCCAAGTTCTAACAATGAAGATGTGGATCAGTTTCCTTCCTTCTTTCCTTTCTCTTTCTTTGTTTCTTTCCTTTTTCCTCTCTCTCTTTATTTTTTTCTTCTCTGTCCTTCCTTTCTTTTGACAAAATCCACTTTGTCACCAAGGCTGGAGTGCAGTGGCACAATCATGGTTCACTGCAGCCTTGACCTCCCGGGCTCAAGCAATCCTCCCACCTCAGCCTCCCACCTAAGCCTGAGTGGGACTACCGGCTTGCGCCACCACACCCAGCTAATTTTTTTTTTTTTTTTTGAGATGGTGTCTCGCTCTGTCGTCCAGGCTGGAGTGCAGTGGCGCGATCTCCGCTCACTGCAAGCTCCGCCTCCCGGGTTCATGCCGTTCTCCTGCCTCAGCCTCCTGAGTAGCTGGGACTACAGACGCCCACCACCATGCCCGGCTAATTTTTTGTATTTTTAGTAGAGACGGGGTTTCACCGTGTTAGCCAAGATGGTCTCGATCTCCTGACCTCGTGATCTGCCTGCCTCGGCCTCCCAAAGTGCTGGGATTACAGGCGTGAGCCACTGCGCCTGGCCTAATTTTTTTTTCTTTGTAGAGATGGGATCTCCCTGTGTTACCCAGGCTGACGGCATTCTTTATAATAGATCAATTACTCAAGATGACACAATTCTTCTTAATACTGAAACAAGATGGAAAGAATCTTCAGAAGTTCGATATAATAAAAAATATTTGAGGCTTTTTTTTTTCCATTTAAATTACCTGGCCTGGAACAGGCTGAAAAGATAGTCCTTAGGAGTTAATTGGTGTTCACTGTTATAAGCTCACATTACAAGGTGTTAAAATGGCCTCCTAAACCTTACACAACAGTCAACTCTCTGCTCATCTGAAGCCCCAGTCATGGTCTCTCTCTGATGCCTCTGATGGTGAAGGCTGGATCACGGTTGGAAAAGGCAGCCCACTGGGGCCCATGCCTTTCTTGAGGCCTCATCTATAGTTTGGACCCAACATATCAGAGGGATAGCAAAAGAGGGCCTGCGTATTTCTTTGTAATTCAAGTATCAAATTTTAAAAGTGGGTTCATTCATCATTAGATATTTTCCATGCATCTTTTCTTTTCTATTAACATAAATAAGGAGTAAATGCAACTTCCCAACAGTCAGTTCATTAAAACACATATACATAAGTAGAGAACAAAAGAGATCTCAGTAATTAAAATAAAAGTAGCATCTAGGTTTCCCTTCATATGCGCATTGCCCAGTTGTCCTCTAGGGGCACTAAGGTCTTAAAAGCAACAAGGGGAAATCTGCTTTCATAATCAAATAGAGTTCTTCAGGTTTTCATACGTAGTGCAAACAAATCTTTGTACTATTGAATACTTTTGCGTATCGAATGTGTATAGAGAAAGTATATTGGAATACATCAGAAATAAAGAAAGCACAAGAAAGATAGAAGCTCATGATCTAGTCCATCTCCTTTCCCAGAGAGGCCCTGAGTCCCCAGGGGCCAAGACAAAGTAATTCCCTCGACCTCAATTGCTCTGTGTCTCTCACTATCTTTATTTATTTATTTATTTATTTATTTATTTATTTATTTATTTATTTTGAGGCGGAGTTTCACTCTTGTTGCGCAGGCTAGAGTGCAATGGTGCGATCTCGGCTCACGGCAACCTCCGCCTCCCAAGTTCAAACAATTTTCCTTCCTCAGCTTCCCGAGTAGCTGGGATTACAGGCATGCCTCACCATGCCTGGCTAATTTTTTTTGTATTTTTAGTAGAGACAGGGTTTCACCATGTTGGCCAGGCTGGCCTCGAACTCCTGACCTCAGGTGATCCACCCGCCTCAACCTCCCAAAGTGCTGGGATTACAGGTGTGAGCCACCACGCCTGCTCCTGTCACTCACTATCAAAGTGAAATTCTTAACTTGGCCAGGCACGGTGGCTCATGCCTATAATCCCAACACTTCAGGAGGCCGAGGCGGGTGGATCACCTGAGGTCAGGAGTTCAAAACTAGCCTGGCCAACATGGTGAAACCCCATCTCTACTAAAAATATGAAAATTAGCTGGGCTGAGGCAAGAGAATTGCTTGAACCTGGGAGGTGGAGTTTGCAGTGAGGCAAGATCATGCCACTCCACTGCAGCCTGAGAGACAGAGTGAAACTCCATCTAAAAAAAAAAAGAGGCTAGGCATGGTGCCTCACGCCTGTAATCCCAGCACTTTGGGAGGCTGAGGCGGGCAGATCACCTGAGGTCGGGAGTTCAAGACCCTGACAAACATGGAAAAATACCATCTCTACTAAAAATACAAAATTAGCCAGGTGTGGTGGCACATGCCTGTAATCCCAGCCACTCGGGAGACTGAAGCAGGAGAATCACTTGAACCCAGGAGGCAGAGGTTGTGGTGAGCCGAGATCGCACCATTGCACTCCAGCCTGAGCAAAACTCCATCTCAGAAAAAAAAAAAAAAAAAGAAAGAAAGAAATTTTTAACTCACAAACTTCAGGTTTCTGGCAGAAACTGTTTTCAGTGTTGAAAGCACTTGCTTACAGTGTTGTGAAAACTCCAGGGTAAAACTGGACTTTTTTTTTTTTCTTTTTTTTTTTAAGACGGAGTCTCACTCTGTTGCCCAGGCTGGAGTGCAATGACATGATCTCGGCTCACTGCAACCTCTGCCTCCCGGGTTCAAGCGATTCTCCTGCCTCAGACTCCCGAGTAGCTGGAATTACAGGCGTGCACCACCACGCCCATCTAATTTTTGTATTTTTAGTAGAGACAGGGTTTCACCATGTTGGCCAGGATGGTCTCGATCTCCTGACCTCATGATCTGCCCACCTCAGCCTCCCAAAGTGCTGGGATTACAGGCGTAAGCCACTGTGCCCGGCTAAAAACTGGACTTGTAAGTGCCTATCACATTTCCTTCTTATACTTTTTAAAAATCCAATTTGGTCCTCTTAACTGTTGTACTCATGGTTCTTTTAGTTAAACTTTTGTAGGTATCTACCTTGGGATGTAAGTCTCTTTTTATGTAATTATTTGTACTCCTCTAATTTATAAAATATTTAGTATCTTTTATATGTACCTCAAATTCCTCCAAGATCAATAAGGAATGTTTGTTGATACAATACATTTTATGGGACAGGTTTATTTGTATCCCCCTAGTAATTCATCATAGGAATATGGTATTTAGGGCCGAGGTTCATATTCCTTGAGAATTTATCAACTATGGCAGGTATTAACCAACTTAATAGATGATGATTTAATTTAATCCTCACAGCAATCTTGTGAAGTTTGTACCATTATCATTCCCACTTTCTATATTTAAAAAGAAAGTAAGAAAGAAACAAAGGAAACATGTTTTAAAGAATGTAAGCAACTTGCCCAAAGTCAGAATTAGTGGATGGAATTGTAACCCAGATATATTTTTCTTCCTAGAAATTGTGATGTTCAGAGAGGTCTAAAGTGAAATAGTCAGGAAATGAATATTGATTTTTCTCTTCTGAGGCAGTTACTAGTTTCTGGATTAATTTTTTATTTGCAAAAATTAAGAACACACCAAAAAAGCCTTTCCTTTTTACAAAACACAATGGTGTCAGACTTAAATTTTTTTCTGCAATTAGGTGGACAGCAAAGTTCAGTAGGGGGAAAAAATCAGATGCGATTCCTGTATTGACAACCTCTGTAGGTAGGACCAGAATGAAAGTGCAACATGTAACTGTATTTGGAGTAGTATTTCTGACCAGGCACTGTGACTCATGCCTGTAATCCAGCATTTTGGGAGGCTGAGGCATGTGGATCCCAAGGTCAGGAGTTCGAGACAAGCCTGGCCAATATGGTGAAACCCCGTTTCTGCTTAAAAATACAAAAAAATTAGCCAGATGTGGTGGCACACGCCTGTAATCCCAGCTACTCGGGAGCCTGAGGCAGGAGAATTGCTTGAACCCGGGAGGCAGAGGTTGCAGTGAACCGAGATCGTGCCATTGCACTCCAGCCTGGGCGACAGAGTGAGATTTCATCTCAAAAAAAAAAAAAAAAAAAAAAGAGTAGTATTCCCTTTCCAGTTGTGCCCTTTGCTCAGACTTAATGTCAGCTTGCGGGCACCAAAGAAGATACATGAAGAAATTATGACTCAGATCCCTGTATCTCCCGTGGGGTAAATACAGGTCAACTAGTTAGGAAGCAAGAAAAAATAAATCCACCCATTTGAGGTTTGTTTTTCAGTTTAGAAATCTCTAGAACTGTGGAAATAGCTATGTAATCCTGGGGTGATGTGGGGGTTTGGATCAGAACTCCCAGGTGCAAGCTAAGTAGGTACCTGAGTCCTATTCTCTTAGGAAACAGGGATCAGGTATTCTTTAGATATCTGGACCAATAGATGCCCTACATACTGTAGATAACTAATAAAGCCTGGCTCTGTGTTGATTATGTTGGCCAAGGATTGCTAAATTTACATCAGGACTTCCCATACTGGTCCATGGACTTAGTGATTCTGAGTTTACTGCAACAGGTCCTTAGCTTGCCGTAGGCTGAAAGAGTAATATGCGTCATAAATATATGCACAGTTATCTTTTTTTTTTTTTTTTAGACAGTCTTGCTCTATCACTCAGGCTGGAGTGCAGTGGCATGACATGGCTCACACTGCAGCCTTGACCTCCTGGGCTCAAGAGATCCTCCCACTATAGCCTCCCAAGTCGCTGAGACTACTACTACTAATGTATGCCACTATACACAACTAATTTTTAAGATTTTGGGGTCAGGCACAGTAGCTTAGGCCTGTAATCCCAGCACTTTGGGAGGCCGAGGTGGGTGGATCACCTGAGGTCAGGAGTTCGAGAGCAGCCTGGTCAATATGGCAAAACTCAATCTCTACTAAAAACACAAAAATTAGCTGGGTGTGGTGGTATGCGCCTGTAGTCCCAGCTACTTGGGAGGCTGAGGGAGGAAGATCGCTCGAACCTAGGAGGTGGAGGTTCCAGTGAGCCAAGATTGTGCCACTGCACTCCAGCCTGGGAGACAGAGTGAGACTCCATCTCAAATAAATAAATAAATAAATACATACATACTTTTTTTTTTTTTGTAGAGACGGGATCTTGCCCGGGCTGGTCTCGAACTTCTAGGCTCAATCAATCCTCCCACCTTGGTTTCCCAAAGTAGTGGGATTACAGGTGTGAGCCACCTCGCCTGGACTCTTCTACATGTATGAAGATGCTGTTGTAATTAATAAACTACAGAAATGCCACCCATTACTGAATTCACAGTGGCTTTTTGACTATACAGGGTTATGGCATGGAAGCCAGACTTTGGAATCAGACAGATTGGGCAATCTAACCTAGCCATTTGGCAAATTAGACAGGATCCTTAAAATTTCCAAACTCCACTTTCCTCATCTATAAAATGGAGTTATTGCATGGAGTTGTTATAAGGATGAAATGAGACAATGCATGTAAGGTCTTAACAGCAGATGCTCAATAAATGAGATCTATTATTACTTCTATCAACATGTACTTTTCTAAATCAACTGATAGTCTCATATAGGAGTCTATCTGGATCTTTTTCTCATCCATCTATTGGGATGGTGCAAATTTCTTCCCTATTTGCAGATGTTTCCCTCTCAATAAGACATCAATATTCTATCATGTGTGTTGAAAATATCTTATTCTCTAGTACAAATTTGCAGCTTCTAATAAGCCTACGTTGTAGGTTTTGTTTCCAGAGTTAGAATCAAATATTGAAACTAGTTCAGGGCAAAAGAGACGTATTTTCCATCCCCATGTAAGTTAATAAAGAAAAGCTCTTTATAAATATTCAGTTGGTCAATGTTCCCTGAGAGTAAGAGGAGGTGATGAAGAGGAAAAAAGGTAAATTATGTCAATTGGATTCATCCTGTTCTATGGTCTAAAGTTGAGAAGAAATGTCTCTTTTTGGCTAAAAATACACACTCTCTGGCCTGCGAGTGGGAGGAGGACTCAACTGTGGTGGTTAAGAAGATGGATCCAGAGTATCTGGATTTAGATTTTGACTTTACAGCTAAAGAATTGAGAGCTCTTGGGCTGACTACTTAACATCAGTGTGCTTCAGCTTCACATCTGTAATTTGGAATAATGACAGAAAACATACAAGCTGGTGTCATGGGAGGAAGGCTGCTGGGGAGCCATGGTCAGGAGATTGAATAGTGTCCCTTCCTCCAAATTCATGTCCACCTGGAACATCAGAATGGGACCTTATTTGGAATAAGGGTCTTTGCAGACATAATAAAGATAAGGATCTAAATGAGATGATACTAGATTAGGGTGGATCCTAAATCCAATGAAAGTGAGTTTATAAGAAATAGAAAGAAGACAGAAAGACGGAGAGAAGAGGGTGATGTGAAGATGGAGGCAGAAATTGGAGTAATGTGTCTACAAGCCAAGGAATGCCACAGTTTGCCAGCAACCACCAGAAGCTAGTGGTATGGGACAATTTCTTCCTCAGAGCCTCCAGAAGCCAACTCTGCAGACATCTTGATTTCTTTTTCTCCCTAAACTGATCAGCAGTATTTTGATTATTTTTTTCCTGACACCTGGATTTTGGACTTCTAACCTCCAGAATGACATGAGAATACATTTTTGTTATTTTTAAGCCATCAAGTTTGATCAAGTTTGTGGTAATTGTTATGGCACCCTAAGAAACTTTGGCTTCAGGAAGTCATCGTTCCTGCGATCAAGGGATTTTTAATTTCCTACATGGGAGAGGATGATGAGCTAAGGGCCTGAGGTTTATAAAAGCTTTGATAACAAGGACTTCAAGAGGTTAGGAGACAAGAAAGAGAGAAATCATCTCTGTGAACAGGGAAGGCTTTAAGTAGGAAGTCGTTCGTAAGTATCCAAAGAGTGGACTGATTTTGACAGGTAGGAATGGGACAGGTGGGGTTAGGAGGGGAGGATATTGATATTCCAAACAGAGGGAACTGATGGAGAAATGCAGCAGAGATAGCAAAGTTTGAGGTGGTCAGATGACATCAAGTGGTTCAGCTTGGTTGGAGTCGGCCTAAGGAAAGAGGCCTGGAAAAGCAGATTAGTGTTAGAAGTTTCCGAAAATAATGTATGTGTATTTTAACATATTTGTATGTCACAAAAATTGGGGGCTGGTATGAAGATCCTCCAGCATAGTACTGGTTATTTTATGTATAGAAAGAAAATTAGGCTGGGTGAGGTGGCTCACGCCTTGTAATTCCACCATTTTGGGAGACTGAGGCGGGAGGATCTCTTGAGCTCAGGAGTTTGAGAGCAGCCTGGGCAACGTGGTGAGACCTCATTTCTACAAAACATTTTTTAAAAATTAGCAGGGCTTGGTGGTGGGTGCCCGTAGTCCCAGCTACTTGGGAAGTTGAGGCAAGAGGTTCACTTGAGCCCAGGAGTTCAAGGATGAGGTGGGCCATGATTACACCACCACACTCCATTCAGCCTGGGCAACAAAGCTAGACTGTCTCAAAAAACAAAAACAAAAACAAAGAAAAGAAAAGAAAATTAAAGGATCAATTTACTTTCCCTAAAGTCAGATACCTGTCTGTAAAAGAGCCAAGACTAAAACCTGTATACCTTGTTTAGTAGTCAAGTCATCTTTGCAGTAAATCTTTCTGTCTTTCAAATACTCCTCCTTCTCTTCTGGCTTAATTTTTATTTTTTTCTCGAGACAGAGTCTAGCAATGTCTCTCAGGCTGGATTGCAGTGGCGCCATCTCAGCTCACTGCAACCTCTGCCCCCCGGGTTCAAGCGATTCTCCTGCCTCAGCCTCCCAAGTAGCTGGGATTACAGGCGCCCGCCACCACGCCCAGCTGATTTTTTGTATTTTTAGTAGAAACGGGGTTTCACTATGTTGACCAGGCTAGTCTCAAACTCTTGACCTCATGATCCGCCCACCTCGGCCTCCCAAATTTTTAAAAGTTTACTACCAAATATAAATTAACTGTTACTTTTTGAGCCCCAGTTATTTATATTCAATATTAGCTACCTATCTAGTTATGGTTAGAAACACACACAATAAATCTTTTCATAAAAATTCTTAGTGGTGTTGCTGGGCACCCTCCCAACATTCCCTCCCATCTTTCCTAACCTTACTGTATGTCTTGTAATTGAAAATAAGTCTAGAAAAATCACCATTTTATATGTTTAGCTTCTAATATTATGTTACATGTTAAGTTGTTCAGTATAGAAAATTACAAATAGAAAAGTGACTCATTATTTCACAGCTCAGGTATTCCTGTTGATTTTTTTTCTTTTTTTTTAAATGAAATCAAGTTCATGGTAAGAAAATTCTAGCACTACAGAAAAATAAAGTACAGAAACCGTCTTTTGTTTGCTCTCAGGTTTTTTCTCAATGTATACATCACCAATTAATTCTTGTTTTTGTCTTTCCAGAAAAAAAAAGTACAGTGTAGATGTTTCTCTTTTCTTTTCTTTCTTTCTTTTTTTTTTTTTTAGCTGATGTCTTGCTCTGTTGCCTTAGGTTGGAGTGCAGTAACACTAACATGGCTCAAGACCACAGGCTTGTGCCACCACATCTGGCTAATGATTTTTTAAAAATTATTATTATTATTATTTTCTTTTTGTAGAAACAGGGTTTCACTATGTTGCCTAGGCAGTCTCAAACTCCTGAGCTCAAGCGATCCTCCTTCCCCAGCCTCCCAAATGGCTGGCATTACAGGTGTGAGCCACCACATCCGGCCTTACATGTTTTCCTCTTTTTTTCCTCCCCAACCACTACAACGAGAGATGTTTTTTTCTTAATGCGACACTATATACACAATGTCCTGTGCCTTGCTTTTTCATTTTCCTTGAACATTTATCAGAAATCTCTTTTGATGTTGCAACCTACAGAGCCTTTTTTAAAAGACTTTATACTATTCAATTATAAGGGTGTGTCACCATTTATTTAATCAGCCTCCTATTTGTTAGGGTCCACCCAACCGGACTGTTTCCCCCTCCCCTAGACCTAAGCCTCAAAGGCCAAAAGTAAAACCCACTACCCTAAACCTTCCTGTAACTGTCTGACCAGAGGCCAGCTGTTCCAGGATGCAGTCAAGACATCTACCTCCACGCCTGGTGCTCAGAGAACGTTTTACACCCCCTTTTTGCCATACAGTCCCAATTCTGCCTCCCTAGCCAAGGTATATTCTTTCTATGCAGCACCTCCACCTGCTTCTGTCTACCCACCAACTGTACAGGCACCTGTACACTGGTCTTCCTCAGCCCTAAAATAGACATAGCTCCAGGAGAAAACCTGCCCCTCCAAACCCTAAATACTCAAATCCCACACAGCAGGCGCCAGGCCATACAACTTATCCCACTATTTGTAGACCTAGGCATCACAGTGGCCGCAGGTACAGGGGTAGCAGGAATCGCAACCTCCTCTTATTACCATAAAACCTTATCAAAAGACCTTTCAGATGGTATAGACAACCTTGCAACTTCCATATCCCCTTACAAGCTCAGCTGGACTCCCTAGCGGCAGTCGCCTTACAAAATCAGAGAGGTCTCAACCTACTTACCACCGACAAAGGAGGATTCTGCATTTTCCTAGATGAAGAATGCTGCTTTTATTTTAACCAGTCAGGCTTAGTTCAGGATGCAGTAAAAAACAAACAAACAAACAAACAAAATCTCAAAGATCGAGCCCAAAAGATCAGGGAAAGCAGCTCCTCTACGTGGCCCTCTTGATCTCTCAGCACCTGGGCCGCCTGGCTACCCTCTCTCCTTGGACCTGCTGTAATCCTTTTTCTCCTCCTAATCTTAGGTCCTTGCCTAATACTCCTCTTCACCCAGTTTTTGCAGAATCGTATCCATGCCTTTGCCCATGGAACCATACAGGTCATGATGTTACTCCAGGAGTATCAACACTTTCAAAACCAAAGCCAACCTCCACTTTCCAGCCTTTCCCCTAGCCCCTGCCCACTCTCAGCCTGAAGCAGTCTGATGAAATCAATGCCCCTTCTCTATCATCTGTTAAAAGGCTGGAATGTTAGGGTCCACCCAACTGGACTGTTTCCCGCTCCCATAGACCTAAGCCCCAAAGCCCCACCTGTAACTGTCGGACCCGAGGCCAGCTGTTCCAGGATGCGGTCAAGAAGTCTACCTTACACAACAGAACTGGCAAGAAAAACAACTCCAGGAAGCGGTCAGACACCTGGCACAAAGGATCCCCTACTCCCTGGCCTTTTCTTTTTCCTTCACCCTGACCCAGTTATATGCCCTATAAAACCTTGCTATATAGCCTGTAAGCGGGGCTGCCTCCTCTGCTTTTGTCAAGAGGTAGCCCACCAGGACTGACAATGAATCACATTGACTTGAGTCTATTGACCTCATTCCTTTCTTGGCTGTCCTTCCAATTATCCCTTAAACTATTATTTTCAGTGTTTTATTATAAACAGTGCTGAATATATTTGTGGGGGTTTTCTTTGTTGGTGTTGTCATTTTTTGAGACAAGGTCTCACTCTGTCATTCGGGCTGGAGTGCAGTGGCGCAATCATGGCTCACTCCAGCCTTGACCTCCCCAGGCTCAGGTGATCTTCCCACTTCAGCCTGCTGAGTAGCTGGGAATATAGACACATGCCACCATGCTCAGCTAATGTTTTTGTATTTTTTTTTTTTGTAGACACAGGTTTTCACCATCTTGCCCAGGCTGGGCTTGAACTCCTGGGCTCCAGCAATCAGCCCACCTCGCCCTCCCAAAGTGCTGGGATTACAAGCATAATGCCAGCCCAATGCTGAATATCTTAGACATATATCCGGAATGTTTCGGTGAGTATATCCATAGCAGTGAATTTACTAGGAATTATCATGCTATTATTCGGTTTAACATTCTTTTATCCTCCTCCACTCCACTGCAGTTGAGAATAAAATCTAAACACCTTATCTTGATTTACCTGTGGCCAAGATCTGACCCCTGCCTGTCTCTTCAACCTGTTTCTTTCAATTACTCCTTACTGATGGCCTGAAGCCACACCAGCCTTTTGTCCTCAATCCCGCAAATTTATTCTTTTCCTAGGAGCCTTTGTACTTGCTCATTCTTCTTTGTAACACTTCTGCAAGAGGTGGCTGGCTCTTTGCCAGCGGGGTCTCAACTCAAAGTCCTTCTCCCTGAGGCCTTCCAGGTTTAAATGAGCACTCCCAGGCCTTCATGTCATGCTGTTAAATTGTAATCCTAGCATTTCATTCTCTAAGAAATTATTTTGTCTTCCCTTCTGGAATGTAAGCTCCAAGTGCGCAAGAGCCCTGTTTGTCTCATTTGTGAGTCCCAAGAGCTCAGATGAGTATGTACTCAAAATATATCTGGTAGGCCAAGTGCGATGGCTCACGCCTATAATCCTAGCACTTTGGGAGACTGAGGCAGGCAGATCACCTGATGTCAGGGGTTCAAGACCGTCCTGGCCAACATGGTGAAACCCTGTCTGTACTAAAAATACAAAAATTAGCTGGGCATGGTGGCACATTCCTGTAATCCCAGCTACTTGGAAGGCTGAGACAGGAGACTCACTTGATCCCAGGAGGCAAAGGTTGCAGTGAGCCGAGATCGCGCCACTGCACTCCAGCCTGGGCAACAGAGGGAGACATCATCTCAAAAAAAAAAATAATTCTGGTGAATTAATGGTGTGGATTTAAAATTGTGATATATGCTGGGTGCCTATAGTCCTAGCGTGGAAAACATAACAAGTCCCCATCTCTAAAAAATAAATGAAATTATCATATAGGCTGCCAAATTGCTTTCCATACAGAGTCACCAGTTTTCAAAGTCACTGACAGTGCTTGTTTGTTTTTGAGATAAGGTCTCACTCTGTCACCCAAGCCGGACTGCAGTGGTGTGATCATGGCTCACTGCAGCCTTGACCTCCCAGGCTCAAGCTATCCTCCCATCTCAGCCTCCAGAGTAACTGGGATTACAGGCATGTACCACCACACCTGGCTAATTTTTAATTTTTTGTAGAGATGGAGCCTCACTATGTTGCCCAGTCTGGTCTCTAGCAATTGTCTTGCCTCAGCCACCCAAAGTGGATTTTCTGTCTTGATTCCTTTCTCACTTCTTACCTTAATTTATTTGATGAATCATTCACTTTACAAATATTTATTGATTATTCACAGGCTCAGGCACCGTGCTAAAATGGTTCTTTCTTATCTGGCCACACCTATCTTCCAGCCCAATCTTGCCAAGAGTTTTGGCCTGGGCCTTACTTCAAAGTGACGTAGACTTGTACTGTAGAGGTCTCTAGAAAGACAACCCTTGGCTGGGCATGGTGGCTCATGCCTGTAATCCCAGAACTTTGGGAGGCTGAGACAGGTGGATCACAGCCAGCCTGGCCAACATGGTGAAACCCCATCTCTACTAAAAACACAAAAATTAGGCGGGCGTGGTGGTGCTTGCCTATAATCCCAGCTACTGGGGAGGCTGAGGCAAGAGAACCATTTGAACCTGGGAGGCGGAGGTTGCAGTGAGCCGAGTTTGCACCACTGCACTCCAGCCTGGGCAACAGGGCGAGACTCCTCCATCTCAAAAAAAAAAAGAAAAAGAAAAAAGAAAGACAACCCTTAATGGGGGAGATGAGGACAGTCCCTACACAGAATCTTTGGCAGTGTCAATGTATACATTAATTTGCTAATCAACTAGGCTAGCCCTTTAATCTATATATTGTACTGGATTTTAAAAATTATTTCTTTACTTTCTCATTAGACCTTCCTCTTTTTTTTTTTTGTTTGTTTGTTTGGAGACAGAGTCTCCCTCTGTCGCCCAGGCTGGAGTGCAGTGGCAGAATTTTGGCTCACTGCAACCTCTACCTCACGGGTTCAAGCGATTCTCCTGCCTCAGCCTCCTGAGTAGCTGAGGTTACAGGTGCCCGCCACCACGCCTGCCTGATTTTTATATTTTTAGTAGAGACGGAGTTTCACCATGTTGGCCAGGCTGTTTTGAACTCCTGACCTCAGGTGATCCGCCCACCTCGGCCTCCCAAAGTGCTGGGATTACTTCTGTGAGCCACCACCGCGGCCGGTCCCTTCCTCCTTTAAAAATTTTTCTCCCAGTTCCCACTTTTTGTGGGTTAGAGGCATCTAAATTGAATGAAAGTACCCTTTTTGGACTACTGGGGAGGTGGGGGGATGTTCTCAGAAGGGGAATTTTCTTTCTGGTCCTAATATCCACCTAATTTTTAAAAGCAGGGCTCCTTATTATTTTGTAAAGTTTACAATTACATCATTAGATACTTCCATGTCTCATATTTCATTTTTCCAAACTCTTGGGGGAAATGAGTGGAGGGATGGATGGAATAGAAAATAGTTTTTCCTCTTGGAGGCTGAGGGCCCAGTAGGGGTCAACAGTACATTCAGCCCTCTCCTCACATATTCTGTTCTACCTACAAGTACAGCAAGTAAAGCCAAATTTCTCATGCATGCAAATAAAGTTTTTGCATTTGGCCAGTCGGTCCAGTTCTCCTGTCAGCTTCCTTCCCCACTCTGCCTCTGTTCATTAATCCCCCCCTTCCCGGTACCTAAACCCTCCACCTAACCCAGCCCTTTCTTCCACTTCCGGCTACTAGCCTCTCTCGCCTATCCACTATCCTCACACTCAGCATCCCCTGTCTGTACGAGATTAAGGAGCTCTGCCGTCCGCAGGGCCTGGGTTAGCGTGAATCTAAGCCAGAGCTCCCGGGTGGGGGTGGGGGTAGGGGTGGGGGTGGTCCCAGAGGTAGGGCGAGGAGGTGGGAAGCGTATTCCCTTCACTGGTGATCTCAACGTAGATTTGCCCGGAGTTCTCTTGCAAGAGAGCTGGCAGGTTTTACTATTTCCCAATCGTTTACTCGCCAAGCTCTCGGGTCCACGCGCCGCGGGGATGCGCCCTGCAAGCTGAAACTTCATTCAAAGCAAGGCGGCCCACGAGGTTGGGCTTAGGGGATCTGGATGACCTCCAGGCCACTTCCTTTCTCTCTGCGCCCTTCCCCCACTCTTCCAACCACCTTCGCTGTAAACAAAACTGTCCCCCCCGGGCGGAGAGAGGTCGCGCTCTTTCGCACACTCCCTCGCCAAGGGTTAATTTCTCAAATCGCACGAGGGGGAGGAGATTTCCCTGTAGACGAGTAAAAAGGGTGATGGACAAACGTGCGGGCACTAAGACCGCAAGGCATTCATTTCCTCCTACGGTGGATGCGGACGCCGGGAGGAGGAGAGCCCCAGAGAGAGGAGCTGGGAGCGGAGGCGCAGGCAATGCTCAGCCCTGGATGTAGCTGAGAGGCTGGGAGAAGAGACGACCGCTGGAGACCGAGCGGCGTGGGGAAGACCTAGGGGGGTGGGTGGGGGAAGCAGACAGGAGAACACTCGAAATCAAGCGCTTTACAGATTATTTTATTTTGTATAGAGAACACGTAGCGACTCCGAAGATCAGCCCCAATGAACATGTCAGTGTTGACTTTACAAGAATATGAATTCGAAAAGCAGTTCAACGAGAATGAAGCCATCCAATGGATGCAGGAAAACTGGTACGTGATGCTTTCGCCTGATACTGTTCCCGGGAGCCCTGCGCGTCTTCCCGGAGTGCCTTAATGTCGGTATTCCCTGCCTGGGCGTGAATGGAGCGATGAATCGCGGGCAGCCAGCTGATCGCTGAGTTCTCGGGTCTCCCGGGTGCAGGAGACGCTGGGGGGGGGGGGGTACATGAAGCGCGAGGTCTGTGGGTGCCCCTGTGTGAACCGCGGCTACATAGGCATCTTTTATATAGATTATATAACACAGAACATATGTGTGTGCACAGGGTGATGTCTGCGCGACAGGGAAGGCGGGAGAGATGCCACAGTCCAGATCGCCTACCTGTGCTCCCCTCCCCTCCCCCGGTTTTCATCTAGATTTGGGTTTTCTCGCTTGGCCTCTCCCGCAACCGGAGTGTGAAAGGCAGTGGAGGGAGGACCTTGTCTCCTGTTGCCTTTAACCCTCTCCCGCCCGCCGCCCTTGGCCCTGGTCCTCGCTGTCTCTCCATCCCTCGTGTCCTTCCTTTCTCCTTGCAGCGCTCCTACTTCACCGTCCTCCTCTGTCTGCCGCTCCTCAGGCGGATGCCCCCTTTTTAGTACCCCTTTCCCCACGCGGTTCCCTTTCCGGTTTCATAGAGAGACCGGGTGGGAGGGAGGAGGGGACAATGAAAACAGTAATAAATGAATGAACCCGAGCGAGTGGAGCCACGCCATTATTAAGTTTCTGTTTTACGGAAACGCCTTTTGGACACACTTCTAATTCTGTGCGTAGCTGCTGATTGGAGTTCAGGCACACAGATTAAAAGCCCCTCCGTCTGCAGAGTCCTTAGGGGCTCTTCCCTAGGAAACTAATAATCAGGGAAAACACCTTTCTTGTTTACTGTAGTCCCCCCGCCAGACCTTTTGAAAATCCCTGTGTGGGAGGCGATCCAGTGTCACCTTGCAATATTTAACAGAGGAGGGTGTGCTCATCTCGCTTCTTGTAGACAGGGTTGTGGCAGAGGCATTCCTCTCCTCCCCTTAACTTCGGGTCTGGCGATCTGTAAAGTTCAAGCCCAACGCACCCCGGAGCTAGGCAAGGGGCCGGCAGCCCGGGGGATGGCTTGACCGGGGAGGGTCGGGCCGCAGGGTCTCCCGGGAGCCGGGGGATTCCGCCCGCCGCGTGCGCGAGCGCGCGTGCCCCGCGCCCTCCCGCCTGCCCTCTTCAACTGGAAACCAGAAACGCCGGCGCGCCTGTGGCCTGGGCGGGTTGGTGCAGTAGGAGCTGGTGCCACGGGGCCGCAGCTGCGAAAAGGGGGTTTCAACTTCCTGTCCTCCAGCCCCCTGGAGTCGCCGGCCAGTGTCGGGAGGCCCGGCCGCCGCTTCCTTCTCCTCCCGCCCGGCCGGAGCGCGCCCACTCCCAGCTTCCCGCGGGCTGGTCCGGGCCCCAATGGCCATTTGCGGCGGCTGCCGGGCGGAGCCCGCCTCCTGGGCCGCGCGCACCGGCGGGGCAGGCCTGCTTGGGGTGAGCTGCGGCGTGGCTGGTGGCGGCGGTGGGCTAGGGGCCCAAGGGCCGCGTCTGGCCCGAGCCGGAGCCTAAGAGGCGGGGACGCGGGCCGCTCGGAAGGACTGGAAGTGCAGCAGCCACACAGGCACAGGGCTGGTGCCCTCCCGGGCCGCTGAGGCCAGGGGGTGCAGGGGTGGGTCCGGAAGGAGGTTGGACACTAAGGGTCGAGACCGCAGATAGACCTCGGCGTTTCGGGGCAGCCGAGGCCCCTCGAGCCCCACCGCCCGGGGTCCTTCTCTGGATGCACTTCCTCCTCCCGCTTAGGGGGTGGTGCTGGAGGCGGGGAGGGGGCGGTGGCCGGAGCCGGCGGGCGCCGGAACCGCGCTGCTGGCTAGCCCCGGGCCCGGGTCTTCTCCGCACATGTTTGTCATATCCTCCAGCCGGCCTGTTCGGGCCCACAGTCCTCCCGCATTAGCCTGTGTGGTCAGTGTGGTCAGCATTTGCTTCTGTGCCGAATCTCTGACTTGCTGCGTCCTGGTTTAACCTGCTCTTCCGGAGTCCGCTTTCCCTCGCTTTGCTGGCTGACCCCATTCACTGTACGCCCGCCATTCCTAGCCCACTGCAGTCGATACTGCCTCTTATTTACTTGTTGCTTTTTCTCTGAGGCCACTTCCTAGGCCTGCTTCAGGTACCATTTCCCGCCTCTTCTCTCCATTCACTCAGTACTGAGCCAGACAGGTCTCAGCCCTCGTGGGACTGAAAATGACAAAAATGTGCCAACGTATCTACTCCTGTTAGGTTCTGACCACTGTTTCCTCCTAGTTCTTTATCTGTACCTTTCTTCTGGCAATATCCTTTACTGTTATATACATGGTTATTAACTTACAGACCATCAGCTCTTCAGGTTACGGTTCTTGTCATCCCACTCTTGATTCTGCAAAGCACCTAGCAGAGTGCTTTGCATAAGGCACATTCTTGAGAAAATGTCCAGTGAGTTGAAATGGTGATTGGTGCCCATTTTATTGCCAGCACTACTCGTTAATACCCGAAGGTTAACAGGCTAGAACTTGCATACCGTGGCAGAGTCACATCTTGGGATTTTTCCCTTCCTGGCTTCTGCTCTCTGTTGATGTTATGTTCTTAGATTGCTTATTGCAGTCAAAGAACCCTGCTGGCTGTTACCCCTCCCTTGCAACTCTTCCTGACCCTAATTGTCTTACTTTCATGTTTTTTTTTAAATGCCAGATTTTGTGCATTTCTCCCAATATCCCAGGGTGCCCAATTTTATCTCTCCTCCCTCCCCAAAAACTGTACAGCCAAAAAGACTTTAAACACTTTTTAAAATTTAATTTTATTAGCCGGGTGTGGTGGCTCCTGCCTGTAATCCCAGCACTTTGGGAGGCTGAGGTGGGTGGATTACCTGACGACAGGAGTTCGAGACCAGCCAGGCCAATATGGTGAAACCCCATCTCTACTAAAAATACAAAAAAATTAGCCGAGCGTGGTGGCGGGTGCCTGTAATCCCAGCTACTCGGGAGGTTGAGGCAGGAGAATTGCTTGAACCCGGGAGGTTCAAATTAAAGCTTTTAGTTTTTATTTTTAATAGAATCCAGCTAATGCAGGACAAAAAGTCTTGAACCAGATTTTCTTTTCACTCCCTTTTTAATAGGAGAAGGGAACTCCATAACCAAGGCTTAGACCCTCTTGAGGAGAGAGGAACTTGAGGAAACCATAAAATCTTACCTTTTTCAGACTCATTAACTTAAAATGGTTTGAAATAGCTTCTGGAGGAAAAACATGATATAGTGAAGCTTCTACTCTGTCTTTTGGGAATTTATGGTTGTCCTTATAAATCTCTTCTTAGTAACAGGCAAAACTTGTTAATTTAGAGAATTAAAACATCCTCTCTCAAAAGTGAACTACATTGGCTTTTGAAGAACTGTGAGAATGGCCAGGAGTAGTATTTTGCCAGTATGCTGCCTTTGCTAACTAGCATCATTTAAGAGGACCTAAAATAAGAATACTTTATTAAACATACGCTATAATCCATACTTACTAACCATAGCGCAAATTAATGTTAACATACCCTATAATCCATACTTACTAACCATAGCACGTGTTAATGGAATGGGGCCCGACTTTTGGAGTAGCATTTGTATAAACCCTAAAGGGTTCAACTGAGGCTAGTTTTCAAGTTTATTGCTGCTTTAATGAATCATTAACCTCATACTCATTGGCCTAGCCATGAAAGTAAATACTGCAGACTTTTTTTACTTTGCTAGCAAAAAGTTTCATATATAATAGGTTAGAATAGCAATTGAAATGCAAAGTAATAAGTGTATTCCCTTGTAGAATCATCCTGGGCCTCATCTTGAAACTACATGTCCAGTGAAAAATATCCTGTCTGGTTATATTATCTGGTCAATGAGAGTTTATTACATGAGGTAGAGAAAAATGTCTGCTCATAGGTCCAAATAGGAGTTTTGAATTCTAATTTTCACTGAAAAGTCCTTGCAATTTTACAACATTGAAAATAGAGACATTTTGCTCTTTTATGAGATGTCTGGCCTTTACCTGTTTTTCTCACTAAGAGCTGACTTAAGTTGGAAGTGCTGCTAGCCAGGGAGCAAAATCACCTGGTGATTGCTAAGGCGACATATAATTCATTGAGTGAGAAGGGAAGCTGGGCTCTCTCTGCCTTCTCTTTCAGCAGCCTGCCAGGTTTGTGCTAACAGCAGTGGATGCTAGTTGCTCCAGTTGTAATTGTCTAGCCAATGATGATTATCTTCTGATGTCGGCTGACACGGTGCCCACCAATAGGAAAGCAGGAGGCCTGTGCTGACTGCTGTAACATTATGTATGTGAGGTGACGTCTTCAAAGGGCTTGCCTAGAACTTCATGAAACCCTCCCCCTCTCCTGGCATTCTCCACACATCCAGCCTTTCAAAGCTTTATATATTTTTCTGACTTTTCTCCCCACTCACTCCCTTGGTGGTGTAAAAGGGTTTACTTGTTTTAACATTTTGTATTCTGTATTATAGAGTCTATAAGATAGTATAGGAATTTTAAGAATTAAATGCTGTTCAGCTGAGGAAGCCTTTTTATTCACAAATTTGTTTTTACCAAAGGTAAAAATGGAGTGAAACATTTTATTTTATTTTGTTTTATTTTTGAGACAGGGTCTCACTCTGTTGCCCAGGCTGGAGTGCAGTGGCACAATCTTGGCTCACTGCAACCTCTGCCTCCGGGTTCCAGTGATTCTTATGTCTCAACCTCCCAAGCAGCTGGGATTACAGGTGCCTGCCATGACACCAAGCTAATTTTTGTATTTTTAGTAGAGATGGGAATTCACCGTGTTGGTCAGGTTGGTCTTGAACTCCTGACCTCAAGTAATCCGCCCACCTCGGCCTCCGAAAGTGCTGAGATAACAGGCTTGAGCCACTGCAACCGGCCGTGAAACATTTTAAAAGGAGTTGTACATCTATATCTTTTTTGTAGGTGAAGTTTGGAAAGTAACACGATGTACAATTTCATGATTAAAGAACATAAAAAGCACTAAAAACCTGTGTTAGCATTTAACTCAAATATAGCAGCATAAAAAATATAGCAGCATAATGTTAATGAAACTGTTCAAATGCAGACATAGTATTTGGCTGTTGTTTTTCATTTAGTGAGGATTGCTTTGAATTGCTTCCTGAAGTCTTCCTTGCAACCTTCTACATTCATTTGTAAGAAAAATGGCTGGAAAACAGTGCATCTGTGACTATGGAACAGAGTAGGCCAGAGTTTCATTTCATCATTAACATTGCAGCAACAAATTTGGTCAGCTCTGTAGGAATATAGTGTGTCTATATTGTACTCATGTCACTTGCTGTTTATTTTGAGGTATCACAGTTCATATTGATTTAGGATTAAAACTTGTGTGAGGATCATAACATGACATTCAATAATTTTTAGAAAGCACTGGGATGTAGGCATATGTACTAGGTTAAGAGTGAGAAGAATGAGAAAATACATAGAGAAAAAACGTGTAATCTGTGTGGGGTCCTAGAAAATAATGTAAAGTTGTGCTGGAGCTTTGATATGAACTTTCATGTATCTTTTAATAAATTATAAATATTCATGCAATTCTTGTTTAGGATTCCAAAGGATGAAAGCCAGCTTAATGCAAAATATTTTATGATTATATTATCCATCTGTGTATTTGTACTAGTTATAATTAGTGCTTAAAATTTTTTCATGAAGTCTTTTTCACATTGGAAGTAAAATTTTGTGATCTTCAGAGGATTGCCTGTTGCTTTTTTGTTTGAGGGTGATTCTAAATGTGTCAAAGTGTATAACATTGGAACTTAATGAAACTTTTCAAATGCAGACATAGTATTTCACTGTTGTTTTTCCTTTAGTGAGGATTGCTTTAAATTTCTTCCTGAAATCTTCCTCGTAACCTTCTGCGTGCATTTGTAAGAAAAATGGCTGGAAACTTCAAAGTCAACTTATTCCATATCTAAGAGTTGCCTTATATACTTCCTTGAAAGAAGAATCTTTCTTTTTCTTTTTTTTCTTTCTTTCTTTTTTTTTTTTTTCTTGGATGGAGTTTTGCCCTTGTTGCCCAGGCTGGAGTGCAATTGTTCCATCTCGGCTTACTGCAACCTCTGCCTCCTGGGTTCAAGTGATTCTCCTACCTCAACCTCCTGAGTAGCTGGGTTTACAGGCATGCGCCACTACACCCGGCTGATTTTTTTGTATTTAGTAGAAACGAGTTTTCACCATGTTAGTCAGGCTGGTCTCGAACTCCTGACTTCAGGTGATCCACCTACCTCGGCCTCCCAAAGTGCTGGGATTACAGGTGTGAGCCACCATGCCCGGCCAGAGGAATCTTTCAGCTTAGATAGTGGAAGAGTTATGAGGGGGACGGAGGTTTTGAAATACTTAGGGGGATATACAATAACCATCTAATCAATTTTCTTTTTCTTTTCTTTTTTTTGAGCCTGGTCTTGGCTCACTGCAACCTCTGCTTCCTGGGTTCAAGCCTCAGCCTCCTGAGTAGGTGGGATTACAGGTGCCCGGCCCCCCATCTAATCAGTCTTTAGACAACAAAGTAAAATGAGTGTGGCACCATTCTGGCAATTCAGGAATTTATCTTGGCTTAAGTGATCTGAAATATTTCAGGTCCAAGTATTTTATTTTCTGAAATGAGTTAACCAAACATTGTCTTAATGATTAACTTAATTTTTCACATATGGACACAGGTGAGCCAAACTGTCCTTTATTAATAGGAACCAGACATCATTCTACAAAGTTTGCCTCAGCCCTCCCTTTACTCTTTATGTAGCTCACATCCACCCGCTCCCATTTACTTCTCATTTATCTTTTTTAGGAGGGTTTAGGGAAAGTTACCTGTACCACATATGTCATTTCTGTTGATAACCCTAGGTAATCTGAGTGAAACTATGACTTGGCTATATTGTAATGTTAAAACTCATAACTTCATTCCTTTATCCAGATTCTGATTGTACATGTATTCAGGCAGGTACAAATGTTGGCATAGTTATTGAGGTTTCTGAGAACTTTAAAAAAACCCAGCATCTCTAATTATATTTACCCTCCAATAATTTATTTTAGAGATACATGGGTCCTTTTTTAAAAAGTATTGTATGGGTCGGGTATGGTGGCTCACACCTGTAATCCCAGCACTTTGGGAGGCCGAGGCAGGCGGATCACTTGATGTCAGGAGTTCGAGACCAGCCTGGTCAAAGTGGCGAAACCCTGTCTCTACAAAAAATACAAAAATTAGCTGGTCATGGTGGTACGCACCTGTAGTCCCAGCTACTCTGGATGCTGAGACACAAGAATGGCATGAACCTGGAGGCGGAGGTTGCAGTGAGCTGAGATTATGCCACTGCAATGCAGCTTGGGCAACAGAGCAAAACTGTGTCTCAAAAAAAACACAAAAATTGAAAAAAAAAAAAGTGGCCGGGCATGGTGGCTTATACTTGTAATCCCAGCGCTGTGGGAGGCTGAGGTGGGTGGATCACTTGAGGTCAGGAGTTCGAGACCAGCCTGGCCAACATGGTGAAACCCTATTTCTACTAAAACTACAAAAATTAGCCGGGCGTGGTGGCGGGCGCCTGTAATCCCAGCTACTCCAGGGGCTGAGGCAGGAGAATCGCTTGAACCCAGGAGGCCGAGGTTCCAGTGAGGCGAGATTGCACCATTGCACTCCAGCCTGGGCAACAGAGTGAGACTCCGTCTCAAAACAAAACAAAACAAAAAAAGTATTGCCCAAGAGTAAAGAATATGAATTTGTAATTTTAAGTTGGTTGTGCAATAGTTATCCCAAAGCTTGGAACCATGTCAGTCATCTAAGGTCAAGCCTACACATTTATCATGATTCCTTTCTGCATTGAGTGTTTGCGACTTTTAGTTTTAAGGTTCCTATTACTAGGAAACCCTTTGCTGAGTTAGTTGCCCACTGTGAACTTACTGAGATTTAACTTTAAGTCTTTACTTTGTACAAAAAAAAAGTACAGGAGAAAAAAGACTTACACTTACCTTTGCTAAGATAAATTTGCTGAGATAAATTAGACATGCTGATTGTAAGTAGTTTTGCTAGAAAATCACTCATAGTTTTGTAATACTTTTATTTACAGGGATTCATATTTCAGTTTTTTTTTTCTTGCTAAAACTTTTATAGAAGAGTTCCTAGTTGTGATATAAGGAAAGTTTTATTGATGAAATATATTTTGGGGAGGGAGATCTACCTCCTCAAAACACACATGAGGTTTATAATCCAATTTTTTTTTTTTTTTGAGATGGAGTCTGGCTCTGTCGCCCAGGCTGGAGTGCAGTGGCATGATCTCGGCTCAGTGCAAGCTCTGCCTCCCGGGTTCACACCATTCTCCTGCCTCAGCCTCCCGAGTAGCTGGGACTACAGGCGCCCACAATCACACCTGGCTAATTTTTCTATTTTTAGTAGAGACGGGGTTTCACTGTGTTAGCCAGGATGGTCTCGATCTCCTGACCTTGTGATCTGCCCACCTCGGCCTCCCAAAGTGCTGGGATTACAGGTGTGAGCCACTGCGCCAAGCCCTATAATCCTATTTAAAGTGAAACAAGTAAACAAGTATAACTTCATTTTCTTCTTTTCTCTCTCTCTCTCTCTTTTTTTTTTTTTTTTTTTTTTGAGACAGAGTCTTGCTGTGTCTCCCAGTCTGAGTGCAGTGGCATGATCTTGGCTGTTAGTTCACTGCAACTCCCACCTTCTGGGTTCAAGCAGTTCCCCTGCCTCAGCCTTCTGAGTAGCTGGGATTACAGGCACCTGCCACCACACCTGCCTAATTTTTGTATTTTTAGCAGAGACGGGGTTTCACCATGTTGGCCAGGCTGGTCTCGAACTCCTGGCCTCAAGTGATCCGCCCACCTCGGCCTCCCAAAGTTTTGGGACTACAGGCGTGAGCCACTGCGTCTAGCCTCTCTCTCTCTTTTTTAAATAGAGACAGGGTCTTGCTTGTCACCCAGGCTGGAGTGCAGTGTCACAATCATACTTCACTGTAATCTCAAACTCCGCTTCTTGGTCCAAGCGATCTTCTTGCCTCAGCCTCCCAAGTAGCTGGGATTACAGGCACGCACCACCTTGCCCAACTAATTTTTTTATTGTATTGGAGAGATGGGGGTCTTGCTATGTTGCCCAGGCTGGTTTTGAACTGTTGGCCTCAAGTGATCCTCCCATCTCAGCTTCCCAAAGTGCTAGGATTACAGGTGTAAACCACCACACCTAGACAGCAGGGTAGATTTTCTTCATTCAGGAGCAATGATACTAACAGTTAATACATGGTTACCTGATTGCAGGCATCCTTTTATAATGTTTTACTTTTTTTTTTTTTTTTGAGACCGAGTTTCACTCTTGTTGCCCAGTGGAGTGCAATGGCATGATCTCGACTCACCGCAACCTCTGCCTCCCAGGTTCAAGCAACTCTCCGCCTCAGCCTCTTGAGTAGCTGGGATTACAGGCATACGCCACCATGCCTGGCTAATTTTTTTTGTATATTTAGTAGAGATGGGGTTTCTTCCATGTTGGTCAGGCTGGTCTCGAACTCCTAACCTCAGGTGATCCTCCCACCTCGGCCTCCCAAAGTGCTGGGATAACAGTCATGAGCCACCGCGCCTGGCCAATGTTTTACGTACTTTAACTGTTAAACCCTTGCAGCCACCCTTTATGATCTTTTGCACGATGGACAACTCAGGAAGGGGAGTTGGGATTTGCATGTAGGAATCAGAAAAGGAAAACTGGGTTCCAGGCTTGAATAAGGCTTGGATGGCTGGTGTGATGATGAGGGGTGTGTCACAAGGCCCCAATCATCCTCTTATTTGAATATTAATATAATATTCAATCAGAAAAACAATGCACTTGAAAACTTGGCTGCACTGGAAACGTGTCAGGTATCTGTGGTTTTAGTCAATGATCTCACAAATGTCTCTTTTGTTAATAATTTTCACTGGGTGGATCCTGAATACTTAAGGCCAGAATAAAGCTTTGGCCTATGAAATATTTACTGTCTGCTCTGTGATATTAATTTCTTGCACTCAGCTTGGTTCTAGACCCTGGGAATTTGTGTTTCCATCTGATCTGCAGCCAGACTTTCTTCCCAGCAGGTTTTAGTGTAGCTACTTGTAAATAGCCACCCACTGTTGACAGTAAAATAAAAATATGTGGGTTGGGGATATCCCTATTCTTGAAGGTCAGCTCCTACAATGTGAAGAATCACAGAATACCTTTTGTTTCATTTTAGTAGCTTTAAATTCTTTTCCTGATTCTAAGGTAAGAAATAGTTACAGGAAAAGAAATGAAATGAAAACATTAAGAAGTATAAAGATGTCGGAAAGGAAACACCTTTAATTCTTTTCCAGAGGCTGCCACTGTTATTTTGCTCCATTTCCTTCAGCCTTGTTTCCAGGTTTTTTAGTATGCCTTAGACCATTCAGTACCTAAACTGTGACAGCCTGGGTTCCCTACTATGTGCCAGGGACTGCACTGAACAGATTTACGTACTATCACATTACAATTTTTTTTTTTTTTTTTTAGATGGAGTTTCATTCCTGTTACCCAGGCTGGAGTGCAGTGGTGTGATCTTGGCTCACTGCAACCTCTGCCTCCTGGGTTCAAGTGATCCTCCTGCCTCAGCCTCCCTATTAGTTGGGACTACACATGCGTGCCACCATGCCAGGCTAATTTTTTGTATTTTTAGTAGAGACGGGGTTTCACTGGTCTCAAACTCCTGATCTCAGGTGATCCGCCTGCCTCGGCCTCCCAAGCAATTTTTTTTTTTTTTTCATTTTGCTGAGGTCTAACTTGAGAAGCCTTCATTTGTCCAAGCAGTTAGGTTATATGCTTTTTCTCTGCTTACTGTTTGCTACATAGTAACTCTTGTGAAGAGGTGGAAACTTCATGTCCAGTCAAAAATGGCTCCAGAAAGGACTGAAACAATAGATACTATGTAAATTAAGGGACAATTAAGAGGTCAAAGGACCTCTTAATTGTGGTGCTTAATCAGAAGAAATTTGTTTTATGGAGTTTTCCATAGGAAAAGGAGTGATTTTCAGACTCTTTTACTCATATGCCTCTAATAGAAGTTTAAAAAACTATGCACTGCCTCACACATTTTTAAATTTTCATCATAAATTGAAATGTTAAAATTGTAATAGAATAAATATAAAATGAGTGAAGATAAGGATTGGCTAATTATAATAACTATTACATGACATCATAAGATAGGTTTACCTACTTTATTGAATAATACATAATGAATTTGAAATCACGGAACATTGACATCCACGGTTTTATTCAATTGATAGTTTTTTTTTTTGAAACATTCCATATATATGTATATATATATGTGTATATATGTATATATTTGTGTGTGTATATATATAAATATATATATATATATATATATTTTTTTTTTTTTTTTTTTTGAGACAGAGTCTCGTTCTGTTACCTAGGCTGGAGTGCAGTGGTGTAATCTCAACTCACTGCAACCTCCACCTCCTGGGTTCAAGTGATTCTCCCACCTTAGCTTCCTGACTAGCTGGACTTACAGGCACGTGCCACCATGCCCGACTCATTTTTGTATTTTTAGTAGAGACAGGGTTTTACCATGTTGGCCAGGGTGGTCTCGAACTCCTGACCTTAAGTGACCTCCGCCTCCTGAAGTGCTGGGATTAGAGCCATTGCACCTGAACCCATTCCACTTATATTTAAAATAATCACTGGCACTAACCCATACTGCTTGTTTTGAATCAGAAACATCCCAACATTCAGAATGTAGAGAGTCTGATCAGAAGAGGACAAAAGAAAGACTATCACACTGCTTCTCAGTGTTGTTTATTTTTACGTTGTGTGGGGGCCGGTAGGAGAGAGATGGGTAGGCTATCAGATGTCTCAAAATAAGTTTTCTTGACTGTAGAGAAGGTTATAGATGATAGCATTTTTGTGTGGGTTGGTGGTCAGCAGGAATAGTCACCTACTTGTTAAGTCACTTTATTTTTTTTCTGTTTGTTTTTGTTTTTGTTTTGTCTTGTTTTGTTTTGGGACGGAGTCTCGCTCTGTTGCCCAGGCTGTAGTACAGTGGTGCAATTTTGGCCCACTGCAACCTCCGCTTCCCGGGTTCAAGCGATTCTTCTGCCTCAGCCTCCTGAGTAGCTGAGACTACAGGTGCCTGCCACCATGCCTGGCTAATTTTTCTATTTTTAGTAGATACAGGGTTTCACCATGTTAGCCAGGGTGGTCTCGAACTCCTGACCTTGTGATCCGCCCACCTCGGCCTCCCAAAGTGCTGGGATTACAGGTGTGAGCCACCGTGCCCAGCCTTAAATAAATCATTTTCTTATTCTTCTCTTGGTTATCCAAGACCTCAGGACTTCTCAGGAAGCCCCTTTCAGTCCATTATACATGGAGTGGCTGATTGAAGGTATTTCTACATACTGACTTGAAAGTTCTATCCTTTCATTAAAGGTTCTTCTACATATTGACCTGAAAGACAGGTTCCTCCATCAGTCCTCCTGTCATCCTAATTGTGACTCTAGCTGACTTTTATTTCCATTTCTGCATGGTTGTCTTAATACTACTTGTACATATTATGTTCTCTCTAGGCCTTCTTTTCTAAGCCATTTCTCAAATTTTATTTGCAGTCCACTGGTAATCCACCTAGCTACTTAAGAAAAATAAAATATTAGCCCTCTTTTGGTTTGAACAATTAAGTATTACCTACTAGAAACCTCTAAGAGATTTATTAAAACTTGCTAAAATTTGGCACTTAGTACATTCAACACAGTAAGTCTGTACTAGAGACTTGCTCTTGAGTGGGGGTAGGAGTGGGGTTCTAATTACATATTCTGCTAAAACGGCTGCAACTCATTGCTTTGGAACATTGCAAAGCTCCTACTGTACATACATGACATTCTACAAAATTTAAGGACACTGTTATCAGTGAATACAAGGTTGCCTTGAGTTGTATTTAGTTTTGAATTACTGCTCTTGCATTCATATTAACAAAAATACTTTTTTTGAACCTGTATTTTGTGATTGCTGATATTATGTGTGATTGCACTACTTTGGTTAGTACTTGGTTCTTTGCCAGCTCTTTGTAATCACTAAATCCTTTGTCCACTGACAAGAGAAAAGTGTAGGGTAAGAAAAAGCTTTAGAAGCTTGCTCCATGTCCATGATCCTTACCCAGGTATTGAATCAGACTTACATAGGGTTTATTTTTCCCCAGTACACACATGCACAGGCTTATCTCAGGGATTCAGATTTAGCAGATCTGTGGAGGGGTCCAGACAAGTGTTACTGTGAAAAACCTTCCCACTTGCCCTAGGGAGAAGCACTGCTCTGTATGAAACTGATTCCATCTCTCATTCTTTGGGTTTGTCTTCTCAAACCATCGATTTTACAGACTGAACTCTTCCTTAGCTAATCTGCTTTACCTGCTTTGTCATCTATGTGGGACCAGTACATAGCTCAGCATGAAAGTACTCATCTCCCTTTTCTCCTACCTGTAATTTACAACCAATTCCTGTGTGAGTTGGCTGTCAGTTCCCTTTTTCTCGGTTCATTGTGCTTGCCACTGACTTCCTTTAGCTCCCCAGGACTACTTTTAGTCTTCTAGATTCCTACCTCCCATTGTCTTTCTGAGTCACTGATCTGATCTTGTCATCACAATGGTTAAAAACCTTCAGTGGTTTCCCGTTGTTTTAAGGTCATTCAAAATCTGGCACCAAATTCCCTTCTTAATGTTACCTCTAGAAGCAGCCCTTGTCCAGTGCCTACTTAGTTGAAATTTGAATTCCAAAGCCTTCTTCTCTCCACCCATCTATATCTATTGCTCTTTATTTGTGGTTCACTGGCACTTGGTTTATAAATAGATAAATATTTTCTCTGAAATCAGTGCTTACCACAGAATTTGGCATATTCAGTGTTTGAATAGTTGAATGAATGCATGCATGGACATACGAGGCTGTTCATTAACTTTTAAATGTATCTGATTATATTATCTGGCACTGCTTTGTATTTCGTTAAGTGAATCATGGGAGATTGTCCAGTCCCTTAAAAATATTTTACTCTCTTCATCTGATCTCATTTTTAAGAAGAAAACATAGGCATTTAACATGACTAATTATCAGTGAATCCATGCTAACTGTTGGGGATTATTAGTCCTTTTCTAGATACTCAAACTATCTATTCCAATCAGAGAGAGATGATTTTTTTATTTTATATTTTATTGATTGATTGATTGATTGAGACAGGGTCTCACTCTGTTGCCTAGGCTGGAGTACAGTGGTACGATCTCAGCTCACTGCAACGTCTGCCTCCCAGTCTAAAGTGATCCTCCCACTTCAGCCTTCCAAATAGCTGGGACCACAGGCATACACCACCACGCATGGCTAATTTTTGTATTGTTTGTAGAGATGGGATTTCCCCACGTTGCCCAGGCTGGTCTCCTGAGCTCAAAGCAATCCAGATTGCTGGGATTACAGCTGTGAGCCACCGTGCCTGGCTGAGATGACTTTTAAAAAAAGACTTCTCTAAAGTAGAAGGAAGGGTGGAATTGTATGCACAAGAAGAAAAAAACCTGGAAGAAAAACATACTAAAGAGGTAAAAAAAAAATAGATCTGTAAAGGTGGTAAAACAATGGTTATTATTTATCTTTGTTGATGAAAAGAGCACAGCACTGTAAAATATTTGAAGAGATTTATTCTGAGCCAAATATGAGTGACCATGGCCTGAGGTATAGTCTCAAGAGGTCCTGAGAACATGTGCACAAGGTGGCTGGTTTATAGCTTGGTTTTACACATTTTAGGGAGACATAAGACGTCAGTCAATACATGTGAGGTATATATTGGTTCTGCCCGGAAAGCAGGACAACTTGAATTAGGGAGGGGATGTTGCTTACAGCTGGGTTCAAATATTTTCTGATTGGCAGTTTGTTAAAAGAGTTAAATTATTATCTAAAAGCCAGGAATCAGTAGAAAAGAGTGTCTGGGTTAAGATAAGGGGTTGTGGTTCTACATAAGGTTCTTAGGTAGATAAAGTCTCATACGTGACTGCCCGTAGTAGCAAAGAAACATATTTTGGGTGTTTTTTTGTTTGTTTGTTTTTTAAATAAAGTCATCTAGAAGCCTCGGGGTAAAATATTTTGATTTCCTTCTTTATCTGTCATGTGATGTTATGCCAGATTCAGGTTTGGAGAGATTTTATGATTTGTATGGTGTGACTCCCCAGACCCTTTAGCTAGGAATTTGGGCAAGAGAGAAATAAGGTCAGAGTTTACTCCTTATCCTTCTGCTGTTCCAGTTTTCATTTTTTTTTTTGAGACGGAGTTTTGTTCTTGTTGCCCAGGCTGGAGTGCAATGGCGCAATCTTGGCTCACCGCAACCTCCGCCTCCCGGGTTCAAGTGATTCTCCTGCCTCAGCCTCCCAGGTAGCTGGGATTACAAGCATGGGCCACCACGCCTGGCTAATTTTGTATTTTTAGTAGAGACGGAGTTTCTCCATGTTGGTCAGGCTGGTCTCGAACTACCGACCTCAGGTGATCCACCCACCTCGGCCTCCCACAGTGCTGGGATTACAAGCATGAGCCACCGCGCCCGGCCTCCCTGTTCCAGTTTTCTATAATCTGTTCATATTATATTCTGGGTATATGTGGGTGGTGTGATTATCCATGTGGTCTTATTTTCACATTCTTTGCATTAACTATAATGTACTTAATGTTTTAAGATAAGTTTCATTCTACAAAGATGTATGTACAATACCTGGTATCAGGTAACAATCTTAAAAAAACTAATTCATTTAAAAATAAACATTAAAATTAGCAATACAATTAAACATAAAGACAGTTTGTGAGGACATTGAACTGCCCATTCTTACTCCAAATGAATTTGCTTTCTTAGACTGAGGAGGAGGGGCCATATTGTTGATGTCACAATAAACTTGTTTCTCCTTCTTCAATAATAAATTACATAATTTGATTTTTTTAATAGGAAAGGATCATACTTCAAGGGAGGATGATAAAAAACATTAATTTAACTTTAGAATTACAACTTTTACATGTGGGCCCAGGAATGTATCTAATGGGACAAAGGTTCCCCAGGGACAAAAGTCATCTAATCTAATACAGACAAAAGGTTAAGCATAAACCTGTCCCTAGAGTGAGAAAAAAATGAATAGAATAATTGGCTCAGGGACCTTGTGGCACCTGGAAACAGATGCTGCACACGTACCTGGAGTACGTGGTTAACAAATATCTTCAGTAGTACTGCAGAATGCCTAGGAGATAGTGTCTGGTTAAGAGGAGCTAGAAAGATTTTGATACTCTCTGAAACGAAGTTTAGAAGGGGCCAGTCTGTCTAGTCCAGAGGCCAGGCTCTGTGGATCCAGAGAGCCTGGTATGTGTGATCTGCTTGGGAGCAATGTGACAGGGCTTTCCACAGGACTGCTTTGTGAAGCAGATCATACTGGTCTGGGCCATTTCTAGTCTTCTAGACTTCCTTTCTGAGAGAAGAAAGATGGAGAAGGTTACCTTTCAGTACACAGAAAGTAGATGTTTTGTTTTGTTTTACATTTTATTTTATTTTCTCTCCTCTCCTCCTTGTTTTACATCTTAGTTAACCCTGTAGTTGATCAAGTTAACTAGGATCTAGGAAGTTGGCTTAGATCTATGAAGACCTGGCTTTCCATCCCAGTCTTTTTCTCTCCATTGTCTATGTCCCTAGAGGTTAGAGGAGACTGGTTCAAAATCATATACAGTTTTAACTTTATTTATTTATTTATTTAGACAGGGTCTCACTCTAGTCACTCAGGCTAGAGTGCAGAGGTGCGATCTTGGTTTACTGCAGCCTCAACCTCCCGGGCTCTGGTGATTCTCCCACCTCAGCCTCCCGAGTATCTGGTATTACAGGTGCACACCACCACACTTAGCTAATTTTTTGTATTTTTAGTAGACATAGGGTTTCACTGTGTTGCCCAGGTTGGTCTTGAACTCCTGGAGTCGAGCAATCCACCCGCCTCAGCCTCTCAGAGTGTTGGGATTACAGGCGTGAGCCACTGCGCCCGGCCTTAATTTAATTTAATTTTTTTTTTTTTGAGACTGGGTCTTACTCTGTCTCCCACGCTGGAGGATAGTGGCACAATCATAGCTCACTGTAACCTCGAATGCCTAAGCTCAAGCAATCCTTCCGCCTCAGCCTCCCTAGTAGGTAGGATTACAGGGATGCATTACCACACCCAGCTAAATTCTTAAATTATTTGTAGAGACTGAGTCTTGCTATGGGGCCTGGGCTGGTCTTGAATTCCGGGTCTCAAGTAATCTTTCTGCCTTGGCTTCCCAAAGTGCTGGGGTTACAGATGTGAACCACCACACATGGCCTTGGAATATAGTTTTTAAAAATCTCTATAAACAGCTCTTGGCTATTTTTTGTTCCTATCCTTTATCTAAATTTAGACAAAATTTCATTCTTAAGCTATAGACCACTTAAATTATTATTTCTGGATATAAGAAAACAAAGTATAGGCCAGGTGTGGTGGCTCATGCCTGTAATCCCAGCACTTTGGGAGGCTGAGGCCGTGAGGCCAGGAGAATTGCTTGATTCCAGGAGTTTGAGACCAACCTGGGCAACATGGTGAGAACTCATCTTGCTTTATTAAAAAAATAAAAATAAAAAGAGAAAATAATAATTAGCCAGGTTTGATAGCTGCTTGTAGTCTCAACTATTTGGGAGGCTGAAGCAGGAGGATTGCTTGAGCCCGGAGTTTGAGGCAGCAGTTAACCATGATTGTACTACTCCACTCCAGTAGCCTGGGCAACAAAATGAGACCCTGTTCCTATAAATACATACATACATATATAAGTAAATAAATAAAGCTTTCTTAATGATTTGGCTTATTCTTTTTAAATCCAGCAAATGTTAATTCTAAACTTTAGTTCTGCTGTTAGAGTGAGACGAGATTAGCACATTATATCTGCTATCTGGGCTTAGATTGTGGGTGTTATTTCACACAGATAATTCAGGCAAACCCGAGATTTTTAGGGGGTGAACTTGCATTATATGGATACAATAAGCACACTCACAATAGAAAACTATGTGGCATATACTAAAAGAAAAAACTCTACCGTGTTTTTGAGAATTATACCATGGATAAGTAACAGAAGGCTCATCCTCAGAGACCTAAGAGTTTGTCTTCTGACTAAACATTTTATGGCTGATATTTCTTCCCCACAGAGCATTCAGTGTCCAGAGACTCCTTTTTCCCCAGCAATGCTGGAGGGATGAGGAATAGGGAGTGTGAAGCTGATGACATGTTCTACCTTTTCATGATGGAGTACAGAAAATAACTAAAATTAGGTGCTAATGGTTGTCCTTCTTCAGGATTAAATTTTACTCAGTGGAAAGAATATAGGTTCTTTTATGTTTATAGTTTATCATATCTAGATGTGCTATAATAGATTTAAACTGTTTTCTCTAGGTAGTTACAACATAACAGCTCCGTATGTCTTGTTTATATGCAATATCTAGGACATTTGGAATGAAGTAGTTTTCCAAAGCATTATATAAATTAAGTTTTCATTGACCTTAGGCCAGACCATCAATAGCTTGCTAGTTGTCTTTAATATTAGCTTAAATTGTATTTTTTCATGTGAAAATGAAAATAAATATTCTTGTTTTCTCTTTATTTCATTTGGGTTTAATGATTTAATATTTTTGCCCTTTTCTTTTGAAATGGAATTTTGCTCTTGTTGCCCAGGCTGGAGTGCAGTGGCGTAATTTCGGCTCACTGCAACCTCAGCCTCCCGGTTTCAAGCAATTCTCCTGTCTCAGCCTCCTGAGTAGCTGGGATTACAGGCATGTGCCACCACACCCAGCTAATTTTTTGTATTTTTAGTAGAGATGGGGTTTCACCATGTTGGCCAGGCTGGTCTCGAACTCCTGACCTCAGGTGATCCATCCACCTCAGCCTCCTTAAATGCTGGGATTACAGGCATGAGCCACTATACCTGGCCTATTTTTGCCCTATTTTCTGAAGTTTACATACATGTATTTTATTTGTCTCGTCAATTAAATTGTATGTATCTGGAGGCCTAGAATTATGAAGGTATACATATAATCTTTTTTTTTTTAAAGATTTTACCTAACGTAGAGAACTACTAGGATTCATCTTGATAAATAAAAAAATACATACTTTTGCAGAGACACTTGTAAAAGCATAAACATTATCAGTTGTAGTTTTCTGCTTCTTGTGGATAGGCTTGGAGCAGGTAACTTTAATACATTGTAGAAAATTTAAGAAACACAAGTGAAAAGAAGAAAACAAATGTCACCCTGAGATATACACTAACATTTTGGTGTAAGTCTTTCAAAACTTTTTATCCATCTTTATGTTTTTGTTTGTTTGTTTTAGGACAGAGTCTCTCTCTGTCACCGAGGCTGCTGCAGCCTCAGTCTTCTGGCTCAAGTGATTCTCCAGCCTCAGGCTCCCAAGTAGCTGAGACTACAGGCAAGCACCACCACACCTGACTAATTTTTTGATTATTTGTAGAGACGAGGTCTCACTATGTTGCCCAGGTTGCTCTCAAGTTTCTGAGCTTAAGCAGTCCTGACTTGGCCTCTCAAAGTGCTGGGACTATAGGTGTGAGCCACCGCGTCTGGCCCATTTTCCTTTTTTTTTTTTTAGATGGAGTCTCACTCTCTGTCACTCAGGCTGGCGTGCAGTGGCACGATCTTGGCTCCATCTCAGCTCACTGCAACCTTCACCTCCCCAGTTCAAGCGATTCTTCTGCCTCAGCCTCCCAAGTAGTAGTGACTAT
Organism: Homo sapiens; assembly: GCF_000001405.40. Taxonomy (NCBI): domain Eukaryota; kingdom Metazoa; phylum Chordata; class Mammalia; order Primates; family Hominidae; genus Homo; species Homo sapiens. The sequence continues at coordinate 110,178,418 of NC_000004.12, read as the reverse complement.
AGGCGTGCGCCACCACACTCGGCTAATTTTTTTTTAGTAGAGATGGGTTTTCACCATATTGGACAGGCTGGTCTCGAACTCCTGACCTCAAGATCCGCCCACCTTGGCCTCCCCAAGTGCTGGAATTATAGTCGTGAGCCACTGTGCACGGCTCGTTTTCTTTTTTACAAAAATATTATCATAGTTTTCATACCATATTTTTCTGTAGCCTAACTTTTAAGAAATATATAGAATGGATATTTCTGCATGTTGTTAAATACTTCCTGCACCAAACTGTAAATGAGAGAATTTGTTTCTTTAATGTAATGTTCTGGCTGACACATGAAAAGCTTGAGGAGATGCATCTCACTCTTTTTAGGTAGCACATTATTTTTTAATCATTTTTAGACGACAGGGCAAAGAAAACTAGTAGCTTTAGAGAAACACAAAATATACTGAATAATAGTATTACAATTGTTTTAAGTTTGACCAGTCAGGTACAAAATGCAATAAGTTTCAGATTATTTTCTTCATGGATTATGTCATTTTTGGGTAATACTCATCAGTTTGGTGTGAAGAACATTTATGCCAATCAGGGAACTTTTAGGATGTTTTCAACTGCAAGTAACAGAACTTAATTAACTGTAGCCTAAAACATGAAGACTTTTAATTATTTCACATAACAATAACTTTGATTGGAAGCCTCAGTGGTTGTTTAGTGGTTTTAATAATGTTATCAATGACCTAGGTTCTATCTGAGTTTCCGTTTTGCCATTCATAATGTGTCAATAGTTTTTTCTTCATGGTCACAAGGTGGCTGCCATATCACCAAGCTTCCCACACAAGCATCTCAAGCAGAAAGAAAGGAGCAGTGGCATGGGAGCCTTTTTATTTGCTTTCTTGTCAAGGCAAAGCCTCCAAGCCAACTTGCACTCAGTAAGTTTATAAAAGGATATGCTCTTATTTTATTATTATTATTATTATTTATTAATTTATTTTTTAAGAAACAATGTTTCACTCTGTCAGCCAGGCTGGCGTGCAGTGGCATGATTACAGCTTATTGCAGTCTCATATTCCTGGGCTTAAATGATCCTCCTATCTTAGCCTCCCAAGTAGTTTGAACTACAGGACATGCCACCACACCTGACAAATTCTAAAATTTTTTGTAGAGATGGGGTCATGCTATGTTGCCCAGGTTGGTCTTGAACTCTTATCCTCAAGAAATCCTCCAGCCTTAGCCTCTCAATCACTGGGATTACAAGCATGAGCCAACATGCCTAGATCTGCTCTTATTATTGCTATAATTTCATGCCATCAGCCAGGCCTGGTGATGTGTTTCACTCTTGGACCATTCACTGACAGAGGATGGGGATTGCTTTCCTACACCAACTCTTAAATGACAAAGAGGCCGGGCGTGGTGGCTCACGCCTGTAATCTCGCACTTTGGGAGGCCGAGGCAGGCAGACCACCTGAGGTCAGGAGTTCGAGACCAGTCTGACCAACATGGAGAAACCCTGTCTCTTCTAAAAATACAAAATTAGCTGGGCATGGTGGCACATGCCTGTAATCCCAGCTACTCGGGAGGCTGAGGCAGGAGAATCGCTTGAACCTGGGAGACAGGTTGCAGTGAGCCGAGATCGTGCCATTGCACTCCAGCCTGGGCAACAAGAATGAAACTCCATCTCAAAAATAATGACAAAGAATGACAAAGAGAGTGATCGCCTTGAGAGGCTTAAACCAGTCTTGCACTTTGTCTCTCAAGGGCCAGGCACATTGCCCTCCACACAATATCGGGTAAAGTTTATCTGTTGGCAAAGGAGGGGGATTGGGTTGGCTATAAGTTATCTTTGACCACGCTAGCACAAAAATGTATACTCTCAGAAGAAAGAAACAATTTCAGGTTGCGGTAAAAATCATGTTGGGACTTTTTACATGACTCTTCACAAATGGAAATTTCTTCTAAAAAAATAGAAACTTTGAGGCTAGGCGCAGTGGCTCATGCCTGTAATCTCAGCACTTTGGGAGGCCAAGGTGGGCAGATCACAAAGTCAGGAGTTTGAAACCAGCCTGCCAACATGGTGAAACCCCATCTCTGTTAAAAATACAAAAATTATCCAGGTGTGATGGTATGTGCCTGTAGTCCCAGCTACTTGAGAGGCTGAGGCAGGAGAATCACTTGAACCTGGGAGGTGGAGGTTGCAGTGAGCCAAGATCACGCCACTGCATTCCAGCGTGAGCAACAGAGTGAGACTCCATCTCAAAAAATAAATAAATAAATAAATAAATAAGGTAGAAACATTGATTTATTCATGGTGTTGTTAAATGTAAACTATTGAGTAAATTACTCTTTAATCTCTGAAGATAGAGCTCTAGATACTTTCTTGTTCTTTTTTTTTTTTTTTAACTCACCACTATGCCAATGAGGAGAGCTCTAGATACAAACTTCCTAATGGAAGTGGAAGAATAATGATTTAAACAAGTACAAATGATTAAGAAAGAATAGTTTTACACATTACATGACATGAGATCCTAAAACATGACCCCACATTGAGAAAGCTCTGTGACCATTGATACTGGAATCTATCATTCATCATCAGTTACTCAGCACATAATAAAGATCTCACTTACCCTTCCTATGAAGGCATGACTTAGACTTTATTTGCTGTTACTGTCTCTGTTGGATCATATGATAGTAACATCATAAAGAGGGATGATAGATGTAATGTAACTCTAGGGCTAGACTGCCTGAGTTCTGATCCTTGTTCAGCTTTGTAACCTTGGAGAGGGTAAAAGTCTTCTATAAAGCATAGTTTAATAATAATAAACTAACCTGATAAGAGTTGTTATATTGATTAAATGAGTTAATATATGTAAAGCTTTCACTGATGCTGTATATGTTTTAGTTATGTTGTTATCATTGATGTTACTTACATATGTCAGTATTTAAAATTTTACACACTACATTTACTTTATCTCATAGTCTCCTTCAACCCTATAAAATAGGATTTTTCATCTCCATTTTATAGGTGAGAACATTATATTTATGTCTTTTTTTTTTGAGACAGAGTCTTGCTCTGTTGCCCAGGCTGGAGTGCAGTAGCGCAATGTTGGCTCACTGCAACCTCTCCCTCTGGGGTCAAGCGATTTTCATGTCCCAGCCTCCCGTGTAGCTGGGATTATAAGCGTGCACCACCACGCGTGGCTAATTTTTGTATTTTTTGTAGAGACAGTGTTTCGCCGTGTTGGCTGGCTGGTCTCAAACTCCTAGCCTCAAGTGATCTGCCCGCCTCAGCCTCCCAAAGTATTGCGATTACAGGCATGAGCCACTGTGACTGGCCGATACTTATGTCTTGATTGTATATGAGCCCAACAGTGATTTGATTTTTTTTTTTAGTTTTTTAAATTATAAATTATATTTATAGTATAAACAAATTATAACATACATGGAATTTACACATTCTTAGATTATTTGGTCCGTAAAATTAGATTAAGAAGAAGCGAAAGGAATGATTAGTTAATACATAGGATACTAACAAGTATCCTATGAGTTAATTGCACTCTATAAGAATAATTAGGTTGTTCATTTAGTGCATTATATTCTTGGGATGGTTTTAGGTGCATCTAAATCTAAATATGCCAACTTTGAAGCAAAAGTAAAAATGTAGGTAAAGGTCATGTTATATAGTGTGACAATTTCTTGTGCTTTACATGTATTCTATAGTTGTAGAATTTCCATCTGTGACTAATAGGTCTTATAGCAGAAAAGCAAATTCATTTTAGTGAACGTGTGTTGACATTATAGGAATGTCAACCTAGCACATCAGGAATTCTAAGGTCAATAGAAAACTTGGTAAGTCTAGTCTGATTCAGTAGGGCCACAGGCAAAAAGAGATACCATTTGACCTTTTTAAAAAATGTATGTTCAAAAGTAAAAGCATTCATTATTATGAGAATATATATTTAAAATGCCTGAAGGCCAGGCGCAGTGGCTCACACCTGTAATTTCAGCACTTGGGGAGGCCAAGGCAGGCAGATCACTTGAGGCCGGGGGTTCAAGACCAGCCTGGCCAACATGGTGAAACCCCATCTCTACTGAAAATACAAAAATCAGCCGGGCATATGGTGGGATGGGCCTGTAATCTCAGGTACTCAGGAGGCTGAGGCAGGAGAATCTCTTGAGTTGCGGAGGTGGAGGTTGCAGTGAGCCGAGATTACGCCACTGCAGTCCAGCCTGAACAACAGAGTAAGACTCTGTCTCAAAAAAAAAAAAAAAAAGACTGTCTTTCTTTACATCCTGATATTTTAAAATCTTTTTCTTTCTTTTTAAAAAAAGTTTTTAAATTTCTAATTTTTGTGGGTTAATCTTTTTTAAAATTTACATTGAAAGTCATGCTATTTTTTCTATCCAACGAATATTTATCTTGCTTTTTTATATTTTTATTTTTTTAACTTTTATTTTAGGCTTGAGGGTACATGTGAAGGTTTGTTACATAGGTAAACATGTGTCATGGGGATTTGTTGTACATATTATTTCATCACCCAGGTATTAAGCCTAGTACCCAAAAGTGATCTTTTCTGCTCCTCTCCCTCCTCCCAACCTCCTCCATCAAGTAGACCTCATTGTTGTTTCTTTGTATTCATAAGTTCTTATCATTTAGCTCCCAAGGTAATGCTATTTTATCTTATTTCTTGCCAGAGCATCTAGCAGTAGGACCAATCAGTTGATCGAGGAATTTATTATTATTATTATTATTATTATTATTATTATTTTCCTTTACCTGATTTCTAGTTCTGCAAAAGGCCACCTTTACTTTGCCCTGTTATTAAACAGTCCATGTCACTTGACCTGATCAAGGAATTTTTTACAGTTGAGGAAATTTTGGCAAAATGCAGCCATAGGCTGAGTGACATGGACTGTTTAATAACAGGGCAAAGTAAAGGTGGCCTTTTGCAGAACTAGAATATCAGGTAAAGGAAACCATTCTTATCAGGTCTAATACAATTTTAGATGATAGTCTGAATCTTTCAGAATGTATGAGACCTGGATGTTCTAGGATGAGAATGGCTGGTTGTGGGTATCACTAGTGACATAAACAGAACTTGGAACAGTTATTGCCATCCTGGGACTAGCACTCAGAGAACACATTGGTCTGCTGGGATCACATCTCACCTGCTTCCCATTACTGCCTACTTCTGTGCCTTGACAGCCTGAGTTCATATTTCTCTCTGTTTGTTCTCATGCTTGACTAAGTCACACCCAATAATTTGTTCTGTCTGGGCGGAGAAGCAGGTCATAGGTGCTATTTGAATACACAGATAGGCAGATCAAGTCAGTGGATGAAATAGTACACTATTATGGCAATAAATGGCATGCTTTTTGTCTTTATTACACAAACCTGTGGGTTTACTTAGCACAAGACAAATGGGAAGGTGTCACTGGAACATAAGCATATGAGAATCCACATAGGCATATGCAGTGTGTCTCTCCTTTTGCATTCTTTGTTGTGCTTAGGACTTGAAGACAAGAAGGTTTGGGAGGTCCAGGGAGTATTGTTGGTTTTCCTTTTTCCCCTGCATGTGACACTCAATGAAAAGTCTCCATATTCCAGGGGTATATGTCCATTGTTTCACTGTAACAAGACTTAAAAGCTCTTAGCAGAGTTTACAGTAAAAAACATCAGCAAGAATTTTTAAGTACTTTGGGCTAATGCAGTTATTTATTTTTGTAAGCATATATTTTAAACTAAGTAAAATCAGATCTCAAAAAGACGTTTCTTAAGAAGAAGGGTATTCACTTAACTAAGCAACCAGTGTCAAGTGTGGATGCTATCCTAGAAGGCTCTTCTTTCTCAGTGCCTAATCCATGTACCTGGGATGGATTAGTACTATCTACCTCTAATCCTTGTACTTTGCAGGAGGTCCAGGCAATTCTCATTACTTGCTGTAGTTATGCTTTATAAAGTTGCTGGGGGTACTGAATTAGCAAACACTGAATCATTGCTCCCAGGTGGAATATAAGAATTAAGTTCCTACAAGTGTCTGGTCACAACATTTTCAACAATTGATCAATACATGACTTTCTTTTAAGTGTGCTTCTGTTAAAGACGTCTTTTGTATGTGAGTGGAAAAACTCAAAACTGTTTTTCCTCTGTTCTCACACCACTACCCAAGCAAGCAGTAAATTCTGCAGCAGACATCCACTGGGTGTCCTCCAGTTCAATTTTGACACTATCTGCTTGGAGATAGGGACAGATCCCACAGGTTAAAGTCCCAATCCCCAAGACTACCTGCTCTCCCCAGCCAAGAGTCACATGTCTGGGTCTCTGGAATTTCTGACCTCTGAGTGGCTTCAAGTTGGGATTCTCATGACTTTGGGTTGCACTAATTTGCTAGACAGGCTCAGAGAACTCAGGGAAACACATGTATTAGTTTATTATAAAGGATGTTATAAGTCTGGGCACAGTAGCTCACAACTGAAATCTCAGCACCGTGGGGACCAAGGCTGGAGGATTGCTTGAGCCCAGAAATTCGAGACCAGCCTGGGCAATATAGTGAGACCTTGTCTCTACAAAAAGCTAAAAAATAAGCCAAGTGTGGTGGCATGCACCTGTAGTCCCAGTTACTTGGGAGTCTGAGGTGGGAGGAAAGAGCACAGGAGGCAGAGGCTGCAGTGAGCCAAGATAGTGCTACTGTACTCCAGCCTGGACAACACAGAGAGAGACCCTGTCTCAACCAAAAAAAAAAAAAAAAAAAAAAAAAAGAGGATATTATGCAAGATACAGATGAAAAGATACATAGGGCAATGTATGGGAGAAGAGCTTGGAGCTTCCACGTCCTCCCTACGTGCACCACCCTCCAGTAACCTCCAGGTGCTCAGCTATCTGGAAATTCTCCAAACCCAATCTTGAGCTTCTTATGGAGACTTCATTGTGTAGGTATGATTGACAACCATGCAGAAATGTGATTGGACAAAAAAGGTATGATCTAATACTATTTATTTATTTATTTATTTATTTATTTATTTATTTTTGAGATGGAGTTTCACTCTTGTTGCCCAGGCTGGAGTGCAATGGCGCGATCTTGGCTCACTGCAACCTCTGATTCCCAGGTTCAAGCGATTCTCCTGGCTCAGCCTCCCAAGTAGCTGGGACTACAGGCATCAACCACCACACCCAGCTAATTTTGTATTGTTAGTAGAGATGGGGTTTCACCATGTTGGTCAGGCTGGTCTCAGTTTAAACTGACCTCCGGTGATCTGCCTGCCTTGGCCTCCCAAAGTGCTAGGATTACAGGCATGAGCCACAGCGCCTGGCCAACCTAATACTCATTGACTGAGCGGGAAACCCAGCAAGGCCTGTCTGTTCAGATTCTTCTTGGCCTGTGTGTCACATTCCTTCCTCCAGGGTAAGGGGCAAGATCCCTTCTGAATTGAGGGTCTCAGGACTCAATCAGAAAGGCCTGGGAAGGTTAGAGTTCTGCCTTGGGCTGGGGAAACCAGGGCAAGGGAAGGTCAGAGAGAGAGAGATTCCATTTTTTGAGGCCTTTTTCTGGGCCTAAAGTGCCCCAACATTATAACAAAAGACTTTAACAGGGCTGTGGGAGTTGCGAGCCAGGAGCTGTGGATGAAACCTGTATATATAATATCACACATCTTATTTAATATATTGTTGATTTGTTGACATTGAGCTTGCAGTCAATATCAACTCATGCCTGAACTAAGCTAATCTAACGTGTTTTTCTAAGGCAAATCATAATCTTGTGGTTAAGAACACTCCTCAGCATGTCAGCACTAGAGGCCAATTTAAATAGGGAAATCATGAAAAAGCACAAAAATGTAAGAAAGGTAGGACCAAGTACACTGCAAAAAGGACATTTGTTTAGAGAATGAGAGTCCAAAAAAGAAGCAGAGCATCACTTGGTTTAGCCTCAGCTAGGGATGTGCACATTGGGCAACTTAATTTTTTCACTGCTCTTTGCATGACCACAAATGACTACAAAAGTACTATGAGTATTGATTTGGAGGTTACAAATAAATTTTAGCGAGTATGCTAAATAAGTATGAATTCTTAGTAATGAGGATCAGCTGTATTCTGTTCTAGAAGTAACATGCAAAGTTCAAGCCTTTATCTTGTTTTTTGCATAATTCAAATTTATAATGGCAGCACACAACCTATACTTAGCAGTAAATATATCACAAAATGCTGATAAGGGAACTTTATTTTCATATAGAGAACTTGTCTTTTCAAATTTAAATCATAAAGCATGTTCTTAAGGCTGGAGATTTAAAAAATTTATAAATCTAATAAATATAGAAAACAAAATATAGGCTGGGCTCAGTGGCTCACGCCTATAATCCTAGCACTTTGGGAGGCCAAAGTGGGTGGATCACCTGAGGTTAGGCGTTCGAGGCCAGTCTGGCCAACATGGTAAAACATGGTAAACCCCCATCTCTACTAAAAATACAAAAATTAGCCAGGTGTGGTGTCACACGCCTTTAGTCCCAGCTACTTGGGAGGCTGAAGCAAGAGAATCGCTTGAACCTGGGAGGCAGAGGTTGCAGTGAGCTGAGATCGCACCATTGCACTCAGCCTGGGCAACAAGAGGGAAACTCCATCTCAAAAAAAAAAAAAAAGAAAGAAAGAAAAGAAAACTAAATATAAAATGAATATAAGCATAAATTCATAAAAATAAAAATTTTCTTAAAATTAGATCAAAAATTTTTGTTTCCTAAGGGAGAATCCAGAGAGAACTGGGAAGAAGAGTGGATAATTTCCAAACACCTGTGTGTGCTCACACACACACCGTGAATCCTTCACCATTGTTTTAATATGGAAGATGATTGGAGTGTGTTTTCTAGAAATTCTGAATAATACTTATTTAAAGACTTCTATTGGGCTGGCCAGGCATGGTGGCTCACGCCTGTAATCCCAGCACTTTGGGAGGCTGAGGTGTGTGGATCACCTGAGGTCAGGAGTTACAGGCCAGCCAGCCTGGCCAACATGGTGAAATCCCATCTCTACTAAAAATACAAAAATTAGCTGGGCATGGTGTTAGGCACCTGTAGTCCCAGCTACTAGGGAGGCTAAGGCAGGAGAATCACTTGAACCCAGGAGGTAGAGATTGCAGTGAGCCGAGATCGCACCACTGCACTCCAACCTGGGTGGCAGAGCGAGACTCCGTCTCAAAAAAAAAAAAACAAAACAAAAAACCCCAAAACTCTGTTGGGGTCGGGTGCAGTGGCTCACACCTGTAATTCTAGCACTTTGGGAGGCCAAGGTGGGTGGACCCTGTCTCTACCAAAAATACAAAAATTAGCCAGGTGTGGTGGCATACACCTGCAGTCCCAGCAACTTGGGAGGCTGAGATGGGAGAATTGCTTGAGCCCAAGAGGTCTAGGCTACAGTAAGCCATGATGGTGCCATTGCAAACCAGCCTGGGTGACAGAGTGAGACCCTTTCTCAAAGAAAATAACATTTAAAAAAGACTTACTGGACGTTTAATAAGGATATTATTAACTAATAATCATTGAGCTTACCACGTACCCACTAAAGGCTTCATGAACATTAATTTAATTAACCCTCCATTTTATGAAGTAGGCTTTGTGATTGGGCATGTCTTGGAGATGAGGTTAAGTAACTTGGAAAAGGTGGGACACCTGGTGATTGGCAGAGTGAGGCTTCAAACCCAGGCAGTCTAGGTCCACACTGCCTGTCCACAGAGTCTGGGTCTCTCCTGCTTTGGCTTATGACGTCAGCACCTACTGGGAAAATTACAGAAACCATTTTCAAAGGTGATATTTTGAAAAGCATATGGTGGGGCTCATTTTGTTTAAATGAGCTCTGCACAATGAAAGCACGTGAGAGCAGTTTTTGAAAAAGTTCTGATTGCATCCATTGAATTTGACTTTTTTTTTTTTTCTTTTTTAGACAGTCTTGCTCTGTCGCCCAGGCTGGAGTACAATGGCACGATCTTGGCTCACAGCAGCCTCTGCCTCCTGGGTTCAAGTGATTTTTGTGCCTCAGTCACCCAAGTAGCTGGGATTACAGGCATGCAACACCATGCCTAGCTAACTTTTGCATATTTTTTTAGTAGAGACGGGGTTTCGCCTTGTTGCCCAAGCCGGTCTCGAACTCTGGGCTTCCAGCAATCTGCCCACCTCAGACTCCCAAAGTGCTGGGATTACAGGCATGAGCCATCACACTGGCCTGAATTTGACCCTTACTCTAATGATTTATAGCCATATAATTCTCATGCAATAAGCTAAAAATACACCTAAAAATGATTTACTCTCAAAGGGTTTTAACTTTTTTTCATTGAATCTCTTTTATGTTCACTTAAATTTTGGCTCTGTTCATAAATTGATACAAAGACAAAATTTCCACTAAAATATTAATCTTAAGTAGTAGACGTTTTCTAACTATACCTTCCAATTGGAATTAAGCATTTAATCTAAAATTATATATCAAAAATACAAGAAAGAACTTCCTTAATTGCCTGGATATGTTTCTGCCTCTCAAGGCCTCAGAAAGTTTTGTACAAACTGTTAGAATAGCCCTAATCATGGAGATAGGTGTTTTATTTTTTCTCTCCAAAAGCATAAGAGAGGTTGGGTGCAGCAGCTCACGCCTGTAATCCCAGCACTTTGGGAGGCCAGGGTGGGAGGATGGCTTGAGGCCAGGAGTTTGAGACCAGCCTGAGCAGCACAGGGAGACCCTGTCTCTACATACAAACATACATACATACATACATACATACATACATACATACATACATACATACATACATAACTGAGGTGGTGGCAGGCACCCTGTAGTCCCAGCTACTTGTGGAAGCTGAGGATCATTGCACCACTGCACTCCAGCCTGGGCAACAGAGTGAGACTCTGCCTCAAGAAAATAAATAAAATTTATAATGTTCCCCCTTCACTCCCCTCTCTGCAACCAAAAAAACATCCTTTAGTAACTCTTATGTAACCATTAAAACTATATTATAGAAGAATATATCTTGACAAAAAAAATGTATACCACATGTTGCAGAAAACTCTGCTTATGAAACAGCATGTATAATAACAAGGCCAATTTGTAAACACACACAGAGAGAGACATATTTACAGTTAGTATAAGGTTAAGTACTTAACGCTGTATGTACTAAAACACAAGTCCTTTTACTGTGCATGTAAAAATACTCTAATAGCGATTACATTTTGAAGATGGGATAAAGTTTTTATTCCTGAGAACCAGAAGTGTGTCTCAATGCACCTAATATTTTTGCCAGTGGAGAGATACTGAAACCCTGTGATCTTCAGCTACTGTGTGCATTCAGACTGTTTGGTCTTCTTGGGTCAAGTCAGCTGGTGATTACTAAATGATGAGAGTGTGCCTGACATGCAGGAGACAGGTGAGAAGACAAAGAAATAGAAGGCAATGTCCTAGCATTGGCAGACAGACAGACCCTCTGTATATATTTCAACTTATTTGGATCACAGTCTGTTTAGGAAGGCAGATGTACATGCAAAATACAGTAGAATGCTACAGAAAAAGAACAAATATTCCAGTGCTGGAATATAGTATTATAGTAACTATAGTATAGAAAATCACTATGTGCTAAGAAATTTAGAAACACTCCAGCAAAAGGCAGGGACTTTGAGAGCTAATAGTTGGGTTGATGAAAAAGGAAGACGGAGTTTCCTTTCATGGTGGTAGCACCAGAATACTCATGATGTCTTATATGCTAACCATGAGGGCTGACCATGCTGAGATTAACAGGCAGTGTTCATTGCCTTCTGGCAGCAAGGGCAAAAGTGGAAACACAAGAATTTTTTCTTTTTTTTGAGACGGAGTTTCACTGTCACCAGGCTGGAGTGCAGTGGCGCGATCTCGGCTCATTTACAACCCCTCCTCCCGGGTTCAAGCGATTCTCCTGCCTTAGCCCTTCTAGTAGCTGGGACTACAGGGCGCGTACCACCACACCCAGGTAATTTTTATATTTTTAGTAGAGATGGGGTTTCACGGTTGTTGGCCGGGATGGTCTCGATCTCTTGACCTCGTGATCCACCTGCCTTGGCCTCCCAAAGTGCTGGGATTACAGGCGTGAGCCACCGCGCCTGGCTGAAACACAAGAATTTAAGAGAATTCTTGTTATCTGAAAAGAAAGGTGATGTCTCATTATTGCTCAAGTAAGTTAAGAACAAACCAAGGTCCTAGCCCAAAGACAACAACATTTGAAGGAAAATCAGGGATATAATGTCAAAGAACACTGCAGTCCAGGGGCGAAATGAATGTGCCTTGAGCAACTTCTCTAGGATCTCACTTGATAGCAGGCTGGGATTTATAGTACCCAGGGGAAGGCTGACAGTATCTTTCCTCCAGATCAGCTCTGAGCTGGGCTTTTGTTGATAAGCTGTCCCAGGAGTGCTGAGGCTCTGTCACTGACAGAGGAGGCAGATGTATTGAAAGCAGGATCGTGGGTTGATAATTTGTTAGGGATGTAGAGAAGCCTAACTGGTTTTCTTACGTGGAAAAGACCACCCTCTTTTCCCACTTCCCAGATGTGCTAAACTCTTCTGGCAGAGGATATAGGATTGTCCTTGGGGAATTAGCCTTGGGTTCACTCCAATGCATGGGTAAATGTTTGGTTTTGCAAGGCAGGTGTTACCTGGCCAGCTCCACATACTTTATTACAAAAATCCTCCTGTTAGTTCTGACAGGAATGCATCATAATTGTTATTTTATAGTTGAGGAAGCTGACTCTCAAAGAAGTGATTAACTCATCTCTGTGTGTGATTCAGATGAGATTAGAACCGCCCAGCTCCTGAGACCATGCTACTTCCTGCCTACCACAGCCACATGTGCTACAGAGAACAAAGCTGAAGTGCAGGCTGCTGTGTCTCTGAGCTAGACAACCTGAGCTCATCCCTCCTGTTTCTTGCAGTGCTATTAAAATGGAGGATTTGATGAGCAGCAGTAGCTGAGAGGAGAATCAGCCTGGCCTGACTAAGGTTTATGTGGGGTTTGAGGAATAAAGTTGGGTTGTGAGGGTCGATTGGAAGCTTGGAAGCCAGGCTAAGGAGTTGGAGTAGGTCTGCTAGACAGGAAGGAACCACAAAATCAGGAACATAATGGTGGAAGGGCCTCCTGTAAATTGTCGATACTTAACTATTTTGGCCTATGAATGGCAATAGCACATGGTTCCACTAAACAGGTGCCCTGGTATTGTTTTCTGTGAGAGGATAATGGAGAGGGTTGCTTATAGTTTGTAGATATCTAGCAAATGGTCTGTTTTGCTAGTCCAGCTAGTCAGAAACCAGTCCTCTTTTTGAAGAATAGAGATCAAACCTGCTCTACAAGCTTATATGTTTACCACAATTTGGGTGGCATGATAAAGACTAAATGCACAGAAAGGCCACATACCACATTACATTCAGGAAATCCTTTCTTAGTTGGGTGTGGTGGGGTGCACGTGTAGTCCCAGCTCCTCGAGAGGTTGAGGTGGGAGGATTGCTTGAGCCTGGGGGGCAGAGGTTGTAGTGAGCTGTGATTGTGCTACTGCACTCCAACCTGGGCAACAGAGTGAGACTCTGTCTCAAAAAAAAGAAATTCCCCAAAACAAGAAATTCTTTCATCAGAAATAAATGAGCAGCCTACCAACCCACCTGCCTTCCAACCTGAGTGTTTTTTTTTTTTTCTTTTTTTTTTTTTTTTTGAGACAGGGTCCCACTTTCACCCAGGCTGGAGTGCAGTGGCGTGATCATGGCTCATTGTAGCCTTGACCTCCCTGGGCTCAAGCGGTCCTCCCACCTCATCCTCCTGAGTAGCTGGGACTACAGGTGCATGCCACCACACCGGGCTAATTTTTCTATTTTTTGTAGAGATGGGCTTTCGCCACGTTGCCTCAGCTTGTTTCTGCCTTGGCTTCCCAAAGTGCTGGGATTACAGGCATGAGCCACCTCACCCGGCTGTGCTTGCTTTCTTGTGACAAATGTTCATGGCATCTTGTGGCAGACTTATGAAAGCTGAGTTAGGTCAAAGTGTTTCCTTAGTGCCTAGCTCAGAATACTCATGCTATACAAACCGTTTTACTTTTTCCTTTCCTAGGGTGGCCTTGGCTTCATCTTCCCTCACCTTAACTTGTCATCAGGGCAGCAGTGTATCAAACTCTGGGACCTGTGGATTCAGACACAGTTTCAATTCTGCCTTTGCTACTTAATGACTTGGTGAACTTGAGCACATTCATTAACCTCCCTAGGCCCCCATTTCTAAGTGTGAAATTGAGATAATCAAATTAGGCTGTAGTAATAATTAAACTAGTTAAGGTGTGTCAATGGCTTACAAAATGTCCAGCACTTTCTAGGCTCTCCATGAAAAGTAGCTTTTACTGGCATGACTCTCAGCAGATATTTTAGTATTATTTTGCTTTCAACTGAGTAATGAATTCCTAGCCAACATTTTTGAACTTCTCATTACACATTCAGAAATGTCATGTCACAACCAGGGCTAAGAACTTTTCATTGCTCCCAAATTGCCTGTCACTATGACTCAGATTTACCCACCTGATAAGGAAGATTCCTTGACCTTAACTCACCATTCGATCTTACAGTTAGTTCTCCCATTGCTCTATAAGTATCTTATGACCCTGGCAAATTAAACCACTGGAATATCTCTCTTCTTTCTCTATTTCTGAAACTTAGAAAGCCCAACTCAGTGCTGCCACCTTCATACAACCTTTTAAGGTTTTGAACTTTTAATCTTAAACTCTTCCATTTTTGCTTTTCATTTGGCAGTGGTAGATTTTCTCATATTAAAGTCAGTTGTGACTTGTATATCACCCTTCTAGCATTTTATACTCATTGATGATAAGACTTGGCCTTCATCCCAGTCTGCTACACTATGCGGTCAGTCCATAACTGTTAAATTTCAGTGACTCAGTTTGATGAATATTTATTGAGGAGCCTGTATTTGCCAGACTCTGTTCCAGGCACAAGGCCGCTGTTCTCAGAGACCGTTCATACCACTAGGACACAAACACTAAACATGTAAACAAGTATATAGACAAAATAACATTAGATGTTGCTAACTGCTATAAAGAAAATAGTGTGATAGGAGGTGACTTGGGGCCAGAGGGAGCTGTTTTAGCTAGGGGGTCAGGGAAAGCCTTACTAAAGGATTGGCATCTGACCTAGTAGCAAATGAGAAGACCATGTTAGCCCTGGGCCCATCTAGGAGAAGAGAGATCCAGATAGGACACAACAAATACAAAGCCCCCTCAGGTGAACTGTGTATGGCTTCGCACCCAAGTAGGCTTCTGCTTTCTGTTTTGTGTCTGAATACCTCAGATATTGATTGCACATTTGAATTGTAGTTTGGAGTTCATATATTCTCAGTGTGATTCTGTACTATTTTTATCTAAATGATTGGGTCTTTCTTCATTCACAGGGACTGATTTTCCCCTACATAGTCTTGGACACAGACCATTTAGTTCAAACCCCAGCTGCACCACTGACTATCTGGGTGACCTCAAGTAAATTGTTCACTCCTGAAGACTCAGTTTTCTCTTCATCAATGAGTGTCCCAATAACTGCTTTGCAGAGTTGTGAAAATCTAATTAAATAATGTCTATTAACTAGTATGTAGTAGAAGCTCAGTAAACAGTGGAATTTATTATGTTGCATATCACATTTGTGTACCTTAAAATTTGGCGTACTTCAGCACATTCATTAACCTCCTGTAGGGAGGCAGGAGGAAAATGGCAACTTTAATTTTCTGGGGAAAACAGTCATCCAAAATATCTATATATTCAGGCCTGGCACAGTTGTTCACACCTGTAATCCCAGCACTTTGGGAGGCTGAGGTGGGTGGGATTGCATGAGCCTAGGAGTTGGAGACTAGCTTGGGCAACATAGCAAAACCCTGTATCCAAAAAATAGAAAAAAAATTAGGCATAGTGGCATGTGCCTGTAGTCTCAACAACTCAGAAGGCTGAGGTGGGAGGATCACCTGAGCCTGAAGAGCTCAAGGCTACAGTGAGCTGTGATTGCGCCACTGCACTCCAGCCTGGGCAACACATTGAGACCCTGTCTCAAAAAATAAAATAAACCCACAACCCACAAGATGTCTATATTCAGCAAAATGGTTCAGCACAGCCTCTTGAAATCACTACATTAAAGTTTTACTGAGTCTGACTAAAATTAAGAAAAAATTTTGGTTGTCTGTTACCTTTATAATTAATTTTACTATGGGTAATCTTTCAATCATTTGCTCAGTTTTCTACTGTTAGCATTCTTTTAGTTTATTTTTTAACTTTAGATTAAAACAATTATAAACTAGGCATGGTATAAAATTTAAAATGTTCCACAAGGGTATGCAGTGAAAAAGTATTTTATATAAAGGACTACATCCCTTTCCCCAACCACACAATTCTCCTCCCTGCGGATAGCCAGTGTGCTCTTCAGAGATGTTTTGTGTGCACAAAAGCAATTACAAATAATGAGATTCTCATTATTCCAGGTAGATATGTTCTGTAAAGTCACCGCAAACACTGAACTTGTGAATATGGAACCCTTGCACTTAGGGAAATACAGCGTTAGTTTCCTGAGAGCTTTTGGTTACAATATTTCTGATCAACACATAACCTAGTTTTGTGTGTGTTTCTGCTTAAAATACCTTATTTAACATATATTGTTGATTCCTTAACATGGAACTCACAGCCAACAGCACTAACTCATGCCTGAATGAAGCTTATCTAACATACGTAGTTTCTCTGTAAGACCTGTTGAAGCCTTCTCGTTCTTAGGAACATGAGATAGCAGTAAGCTTGGGAGCCATTTTAAACCGTGAAATTGCCAACACAAAGCACAAAAATTGGAAAGACATGGAACTAAATAAGACTGCAAAAGAGACACCTATTTTGCAGTATGAGAGCTGAACAGGAGGCAGTGTGTCACCTTGCTCCACCTCAGCTGGGGATGTGCAGGTCAGGCAACTCCAATTTTTCATCCCTCTGTGCATGTTTGAAAATGACCATGAAAGTGCCATCAGTATAGACTTGGGGTTAAATTTTCATAAGTAGGAGAATTTGCAAATACAGAATCAGTGAATGAGGATTGACTATATATTTTTTTCCTTTAAGAACACAAATGCTAGTATATAATACATAGCATTTTGTATCTTACTCTATGGACTTAACAGTGCATCTTGAAGATATTTTATACATACACAGACATATTTCATTTGAGTAAACTACGAGCTTCTGCATTCTATATTGTTCAGGCTGTATATAATCCATTACATGGGCGTTTGTGTTTTTTTCCAGTCTTTTATTACTTGGATTACATTGCACTGGAAATGTTGCTAGATACTGTCTTCTGTAATGGTTGTATATTATACCTCTCTACCACCATTACAAGAGGGAATAGATAGCATTCTTTCATGTAGCAGCATCCATTGCTAATTGTACTGGATAATGACTTGAATTCTATTTATTCTTTAGTACTGATCTACTCTGTTGGAGAAACCAATAAGGTGCAAGACTCCACTGAATAGAAAAGCAACAATTAAAACCATAAAGGAGTCAGTCAGTGTGTGAGATGCTTGCATTCCTTCTCTCTGTTTAGCTGTTTCCCAACCCTTTTATTTGTTGCATGATCATATCTCTTATCCTTATCTTCACTGTGGAATATAGTCAGTGTTTCACATGAAGGAATTTATTAATTTCCCTTTGTAATTAAACTTTCTATAGAAAACAATGTATTTCAAAAGTGCACATTGCAACAACATATGGGCAACATGCATATTTTTAGTATTTAATTGTTACAATAGCCTAGAGAGGATAATTTCAGTAAATCAAAAATATCTGAAGCTTAACCACCATGAGACTGGTGTTGATGGAAGCTTGTAAACTAGCACGCCTATGCAAATTATTTACTGATACTGTTTTTAATCCCTGACTTCATTTCAGTAACAAGAGATAGACCATAGACCAATAAGTAATATATTATTATAGTTTGTATATACATAGCATGTCTGATAGCGATTCCTGCTAATGAGTAAAGCAACACAGGAAGTCAGGGGTGGGTGGGCCAGTGGAAGGAAGATATAATTTTGCAGGGATGTTCAGGAAAACAATATTGAGCAAAGGCTATAAAATAGTGAGAGTGATCTATGCCAGTTTTGAAATTCAAGGCCAAGGAGAGGGCCAGTGAAAATGCTCTACCTGTAAGGAGCTTCTTTGTCAAGGGAGACAGGGTGTCAGGAGCAACACTGTCATGGAAAGATCTCCAAGATACACTGTTAAAAAGACATCCAATAGTGTTTGTGTGTGTGTGTGTGTGTTTGTGTGTGTGTGTGTGTAAGTTGTAAGCAAACCCTCATGTGTTGTTTTTTAGAAAACTTTGATGTTTAAGTGTTTTTCTTTAGGTGCCACTTTTCCTAATGTTAAAAGAGGTCGTACCAATCCATAAGAAAAATATAGCTCAATAATAACGACATGAATAGAAAGTTCACAGGAAAGGAAATTTTTTTTAGCCATTTCTTTCAGTAGACATGTGAAAAAATGCCTAAATATACTCATAACGGAAAAAATAAAATAGCAATGAGATACACTTTCATCTTTTAGATTGTGAGAGGTTAAAATTTTTGAGCAGTCATCTGAGTGTTAGAGAGAAATGTGCTGTTGAAAGTGTGAATTTTTGTACATTTTGGAATCCTTTTGCAGGGTGACTTTGCATTCTCTGTAACTGTTAGAAACACCAACGTCTCATGTGTTAATGTGCAAAGATCTCAAAGATACATCATTGTAAAGTGAAAAACACCAAGATGCACGATAGTTTTTAAAATATGATTTTTAGAAAGTATATGCATTTATTGATACGTGAATATGCATAAAAATCTGAAGTGGAAGAGAGTTCATTAGGAAAGAGAAGGAGACTTGGCTTTTATTTTACAACTCCCTGTGTTACTTGACTTTTAAAAAAAAAAGAAAAACTGTGTACTTTATTTCTATAGTAAAAAATTAAAACCATACAAATTTAATTGAAAGATAACTTCTTTTTCTACTTTACATGATTAAGCAAAGTAACTTTTGTCATCAAGTTATTATCATTGTCCTCTCATATATTGTTAACTAATAGTTCTCTTGTACTATAAATCCCATGACAGATTTTTGTCTGTCTTGTTCCCCTGGGTTTGCCCTGGTATCTGGGCACATGGAAGGCACTCCATAAAAGTGTATTGACTAAATGCATAAAGGAAAATCTTTATTTAAATAAAGTATCTAATATTCCAGCATGACACTATCTTCATGCTGTCAGGTATATAATTATTGTCTCAGTTTTACAGGTAAAAGAGAGAAAAATCTATGCAAATCACAATGTAAGTCT
The DNA here is from genome assembly GCF_000001405.40 of Homo sapiens. Taxonomy (NCBI): domain Eukaryota; kingdom Metazoa; phylum Chordata; class Mammalia; order Primates; family Hominidae; genus Homo; species Homo sapiens. The sequence continues at coordinate 110,159,067 of NC_000004.12, read as the reverse complement.
AGAAGTGATTAAAATTGATAAAAAGCAAAGCAACTATGCAAAGTAAGAGCTGAGATTCAGATTTTGTGAGTCATGACTATTTGTTTAACTTAGTAATCCAATATCTTGGCCAGGCACGGTGGCTCATGCCTGTAATCCCAGCACTTTGGGAGGCCAAGGCAGGCGGATCACCTGAGGTCAGGAGTTGAAGACTAGCCTGGCCAACGTGGCGAAACCCCATCTCTACTAAAAATACAGAAATTAGCCGGGCATAGTGGCATGCGCCTGTAGTCCCAGCTACTTGGGAGACTGAGGCAGGAGAATCCCTTGAACTTGGGAGGTGAAGGTTGCAGTGAGCTGAGATTGTGCCATTGCACTCCAGCCTGGGCAACAAGAGCGAAATTCTGTCTCAAAAAAAAAAAAAAAAAAAATATATATATATATATATATATACACGTGTATATATGTGTGTGTATATATATGTGTGTGTGTGTATATATATACATATATATATAGATGTATATATATATCTCTCTCCAATATCTTGGCTGCCAATTAGAGAATGGTTATTAAATTTTGTCCTGGTTCTTGACTGATCGTGCCCTCGGGATACAGAAAAATGTTAATGAGTGTGGAGTTTTTCTTCCTAAGAGTTGTGTTCCTTCTCAGTAAACCTAGTATGATTAGAGGAAATGTGTAGGTTGATCTCACAGGTGCTACAAAATAAAGCACATGATGTTTAGTTAAAAATGTTTGTGATCTTCAAAATGGGGTTTATTGAATTATAGACTGTGCACACAATGGTCCACTAGGTTGTTCTTTACTGTAGTTATCTATTTCTGTGGAGATGGATGAATATGTAGTGATGTGGAAAGATGAACTTTTCATAATATAAAGCAGAATAGGGTTGTATAGTATGTTTGGATTTTTGTTAATAACATGTTAAAAGTGTCAAATTGCCAACAAGGGCAAGAGCATAATATAATGATTTTCTGAAACCATGTGTTAAAGCATAATTAACTAACTTGACAAATACAGTTTCAATGTACTATATCCATGAACTTTGGTTTATCTTTGTGTTTATATATAAAGTAATTGGATATTTAATGATTATTTAAATGTATTTAGTTAATTCTTCTTGTACCTAGAAAAGGATTTGCCCTGTCAAAGACAAAGTGCTGGTCCACTTCTTCATGAATATATATTTCCTACTTTTAATAATTTGCTTGTCAATATAATGAGACTAACAAAGTGCCATTTAGGCTATTTCAACATGTGTAGTTCCCTGAGGGCACATAGCTTTACAGCTTCCATAGCAGATACTATAATTCCTTGAGGTAGTTGGCACTCAGTAAATGTTTATTGAGTTGATGATTTTCTTAAGGAAATAAAATATCCAAGAAATTTTTTTTTTTTTTGAGACGGAGCCTTGCTCTTTCACCCAGGCTGGAGTGCAGTGGCGCTATCTCAGCTCACTGCAACCTCCGCCTCCCAGGTTCAAGCAATTCTCCTGCCTCAGCCTCATGAGTAGCTGGGACTACAGGTGCATGCCACCACGTGCAGCTAATTTTTGCATTTTTAGTAGAGACGGGGTTTCACTATCTTGGCCAGGCTGGTCTTGAACTCCTGACCTCACTTGATCCACCTGCCTCGGCCTCCCAAAATGCTGGGATTACAGGCATGAGTCACCGCACCTGGCCTATCCAAGACATATTTTAGAGTATTCAGTCACTTCTTTTCCCTCCCTCTAATTACTGTGTACTATTATTTGGCATTTTACCAGCTCAAAGTGGAATAACTATTTTTGCTTCACATTGTATGTACCAAATTAATTTCATATTATGCTTCAGTTTCTCCTACTTTTTGCAATAAATTATAGAGGGAACAAATGAAGTTTGTGGTTACTTGACACTAGGGGCGAATAAAATGTTTGAGCCTTTCTTTTCCCTCCTCCTTCTTCTTGGCCTTGCTAGAAGAACCCCAAATGGGCAGTGACCCAGATGGCCATTTACTTTTGGACTATCCTCCTTTTCAAATCTGCCAAAAATGATTAATCAGAATGATGATTAGCCAGTTTCTATCAGTTGTTACAAATCAATTATGTGACTAAGGAAACTGCATCTTTTACCAGCCTTGTTATGGCTTCTTTTAACCGCAAATATCCAGTTACTGGTTACCATATGAAAGATTTCTTTGAGGACTAATTTTGTGTTTTCAGTGTGGATGCTTTTCAGTTTTATGATATATTTTGTTCCAAGGCAGATACTCGTTAATCCTATTTTACTTACTAAGGTAGTATAAAACTAACTGCTTAAAGAAATGAATTCAATCCACTTGTCTCTTCTGTCCTGAAAAAGAAGCATGTGCTTTATTACATGGGCCCGTTTCTTTTTCTGTTTTTTTGAGGCAGGGTCTCGCTCTGTTGCCCAGGCTGGAGTGCAGTGGTGCAATCCTAGCTCACTGGAGCCTCAGTCTCCTGGGCTCAAGTGATCCTCCCACCTCAGCCTTCTGAGTAGTCGAGACTGCAGATGCTTGGTGCCATGCCTGGCTAATTTTTTAATTTTTTGTGGAGACGGGGTCTCTCTAGGTTCCCTAGGCTAGTCTCGAACTCCTAGGCTCAAGTGATCCTCCACCCTTGACTTCTGCTGGGATTATAGGCATGAGCCACTGTGCCCAGCCAGAACCCTTTTATTTGTGTTAATATTTAGTAAGATTTTAGATGGAGGTCAGTCCAATGTGGAAATGTCTTGGAAAAGCCCTTACCTTTCATTATCTCCTCTGCAGCAATCCTTCAGGGAGAATCACATCCTAATTCTAGGTCACTTGTTACCTAATCCTCTTTTCCTGACACAGCTTCTCACTCCAGAAAACATTTTAACTTCCTGAATATTAAGATTCTACTAAATGTGGCAGGCTCTGTAACAACCACCAATCCTTTACATTTTCAAGGTGGCTCTGGTGCAGCCTCCAGTTTTCTTGTCTTCCCCTTCTTATTTTCTATTCCTTTATTTGTCTCTTGAATAGGTATTTAAAGAAAGGAAAGCAGGCATATTTGGATATGTGCCCACTAAGGCACTATTCCTGAGAGAAGTTTGCAAAATGTCTTTTTCAAATGCCTGTGTGCTTTATTATTCCTATACTGCCTTGTAGCAACGCTCATTATTCAGGGCAGTGGTTCTCAACATGAGCTGTGCTTCCCGTGTTGTAATTGTCTGGGAACCTTTTATAATCACCAGTGCTGAGGCCTTGACATCTGTGGAAGTGGGGGTGGGAGGTTAATAAATCTCTCCAGGAGATGTGATGAGAACCTGTGGTTTAGGAAGATGTTAGATACGAGGAGGTTGTTGATCTGCCCCCAAGCTCTCTAGCAATTCTGATTATTTTAAATGTACCTGCAATATGTAGCCATTGTATCATGCATATTGAACTGTCTCGGGGTCTAGATATGGATATATGAACCAGGACGACTTGGGACTCTTACTGTCTGGAAAGAATGGCATTGTGTTAGAGGAAAAATAAGTGTTCCAAAAAAGCTCAATCGCATAGATAAATTCTGATATTTGTGATACAAATTGTTAAACTTTGATTTTGTAAAATATTCAATTTGTAATACAACCTATTTAAGTATCTTTGATAGATTGAAAAATTATTTTTTTCTGACTATTGTAAATAATAATTTTTTTTGCTATAGATTAGGAGTTTCCTATGCTCTCAGTCTCTAGGGCTATCCCTTCTGTATTAGTATAACTATAACTATATAATATGTAATAAATAGTATGTGACCAAATGTAGGAAGATTTTTAAAGCCATGACCATTATGATTTGATTCTTAAAAAACAATCATAATAATTTATAATTGAAAAACTTTTAAGAAGTAAAAGTTTTGGTCTATGTGAGTGTGGTCAATAGGTACTTCAAAATTAAATGTTCATAGAAGTTTAAAAAATATATTACTAGTTATGCCCCAAATTTGCTAAATATTTATTGGGCAATTATATATTAGTATATAATAGCAGTATATGCTATGTAGATTGTATAGTACAATATATTGTAGCAAGCATATATTAAGTGCCTAACGTGCTTAAAATATATTGCTCATTTAATTCTCAAATAATGCTGCAAGAATCAGTCACAGGATTGATAACTGTCAAAAAAGTAAAAGTTGGACTCAGATCTCTCTTTGTGGAAAGTCCCTGTTTTGACCTCTAGCACATTTTTGACCTAGCATTTCTTCTCCAAGTTAATTACAAATAAGAGATAGGATCCATAGTTAGTGTGACATTATAGCCTGTGATTATCTGTTTTGGTGGTTACACTGCCACTTCCCTTTCATGTAGCACCAAGCCATCTTCTCAACTCAGTGGGGATGGTGTAAGAGAAAAGTTAGCAGCTGGTAAGAAATTCGGTTTGGGTCTGATGACAGAAATAGCTCAAAAAATAACTTTGCTGAGAGGCAATCACATGTTCACATCAAGAAATTAATATCACAGCCTGGGCAACACACAAGAGCTTGTCTCTATTAATAATAAAAATAGGCCAGGTGTGGAGGCTCATGCCTGTAATCCCAGCTCTTTGGGAGGCCAAGGCAGGAGGATCACATGAGGCCAGGAGTTCACGACCAGCCTGGCCAATATGGTGAAATCCTGCCTCTACTAAAAATACAAAAATTAGTCAGGTGTGATGGTGCATGTCTGTAATCCCAGCTGCTCGGAGGCTGAGGCAGGAGAATCACCTGAACCTGGGAGGCGGAGGCTGCAGTGAGCTGATAGCGCACCACTGCACTCCAGCCTGGGAGATACAGTGAGACTCTGTATCAAAAAATAAAATAATAAATAAAATAAAATATTAGCTGGGTGTGGTGTCACACACCTATAGTCCCAGCTACTTGGGAGGCTGAGGTGGGAGGATCACTTGAGCCTAGAATGTGAAGGCTGTGGTGAGCCATGATTGCGCCATTGCACACCACCCTGGGTGACAGAGTAAGACTATCTCAGAAAAAGAAAACAAAAGAAAAGAAATTAATATTGATGGACAAAAAGCCTGGTACTTTTAAAATTTCTTAATTTTACTAAATAAAAGTGGAATTGGTAATTTTAATAGACAAAGTCTGTGCCTTGGTATAAAATTGGGGAGAAAAAAACTTCCTGTTTCCTTGCAAATGAAGTAAAGAATGCTGTTAGGGCAGTGGGGACAGCTAAGCCTTGTAAAGCTGCTTACATTGCATTAGAAACTACAAAGTAAGAAATAGCCCATTATTCCACTTCTAGTTATTTCAGGAATGACACTGGAGAGCTCTGTGGATCCTACTTTAAATGAAGATCTGTTAGTTTAAATCTGCAAAACCACTCTTAAAATTTTAAAAATTATAACAGTTTTTCATTTCTCTATATATGTTGGAGCATAAGGTTTCAAAAGCTTCAATTTCAGGGTGCCAAGAAGAAAACTGTTTTAAGAATGGGATTTACATAAAGGGTAAAATGTGTCAACAGCTTATGAATCTGAAAGGAGCATTTATTGGCTATAATTTTTTTTACATGGCATTTTCAGCTGATCACCCTTGTTGGATTTTATGTCAATAAGTACATTTCTCATCATCTGTAACTGTGGCAATTTTTAATCCTCCACTATTAATTATCAATTAAGTTTTAGCCCACCATCTATAAGTAGCATTTAAATTATCACACTATTAAAGTTTAAATCACTCAAAAGAGATAAGTAGGTAGTAATTGCTGTCATTGTATTTTGAAGATTAATATTTTGAGCAAAAAATTAAATTATGTATAAGGTCTCATAAGTTATGGAAGCTACCTACTTTCTGCAGAATGGTATGTGTACCACAATTTTACTGTAATTATAATTCCCTTTTCACTATTATTATTAAATCTTAACAGTGATACCAGAAAGTTTTCATAATGTACATTTTGGTTATAATTGTTTCTTCATCTCTGTCAGGGTTCTGGTTTCCTACTTACAAGCTGACACAGGTTGTGCTGCCTGATCATCATTAAAATGTGAATTTCTTATTTTCAAAACCATACCCAAAGGCACATCAAAAAGAAGTGGTTCGTCAACTACTGTGTCATTCCTGCTCTTCAATAGACCAGTGTTTATACTCACGGAGGGGTCACATAGGTTTGGCATCCTCCTTTTGAGAGACGAAGGATTGTCTTTGCTAATTTGAAAAAGCAAATTTTGAAAGAATGAAATGTTCATTTTGAAATAAGGTTTCTAGGACAGTGCAGTAAAATGCTTTCCCCTTCTAAAATTTTCTGAAATATTTTTAGCCTTCTAACATAAGTGCATGTGTACGCACACACTCACATACACTATATATAGCAACCTGGTTGTCACAATCCTCACTACTTCTACGTGTGATCTGTGTATGTGAACCAGCAGCATCACTGCAGAGCTTGCCAGAGATGCAGAATCTCAGGCAGGCCCCACCCCAGACCCACTGAATCAGAATGTGCATTTCAACAAGATTCCCAGGTGTTTCATATGTTCAAATATATCCACAGTGTGAGAAGCTCTGGTATCAGGCATCACTGCCTGGCAGAAAGGCCGGGCGTGGCACTATCTGTATTTTCACGGAATAAATTCTCATTCAGTGACTGAGAGAACCCTTTGTTCTTTTTAAAACAAAGGTGATCCTGAGCTGGGTGTCAGAGAGGTAAGATTTGGGAAAGTAAAGGTTTTATAATTCTAATAGGATGACAATAGCAGCTATATATATAATGCCAGGAAATAATACAGGAGACTCTACCGTGATAGATGGGTTTTTTCCTCAATCATTTTGTCTCTGATCGTGTATTTAGTTAATTCTCTGCAAAGAGAAGTGTCCATAATAGGACTTGATATGACATAAGGTATGCCCTCTTGATAGTCTTTAAGGAAACTTTATTATAGGGTAACCCAACCAATATTAAGTTTTAAAGATATTTTGGGGGGGCATATGGGAGGGCCAAGAGCCAAATCAATAGCAGTCAGCTATTTAGAATGAATCTTCTCATGAATATTTATCTTACTGTTACTCTGTATTAAACTCCCTTTTATTTTACATCTAGGATTTCTACCCAGTTTAGAACTTAGAGATGCCAATATTTTCAGATAAGGACTTTTTAGTTGTTGAATGCTATAACTTGTGTAATATTAATATTCACTGACTGATGATTAAATGTACCCTGTACAATCCATTATCTAAGTTAATCTTCACAGCAGTCCTAGGCAACAACGGACTTTTAAAATCTCCTTTTTACTGACGAGGAAACTCAGAAACCAAGAGATTAAGTAATTCACCAAACATTGTACAGCTAGTAAGTGGGAGAAGCAGGTGTTAAGTCTAGGATCTCTCATTCAAAAGTCCATCTCTTATTTATGATACAAGATTGCCTTTTAGACTTCTTTATGGCCCACAAATGCTGTCTCTTAATGGGCAGGCATGTCAAATCTCAACATCATTATTGGCCTTTTGGTAAATAATTACATATATAGAAGTCTTCTGACACACCCAAGCATCTATCCCATAGGTCAAACCCAAATACTGATCTTATTGGCAACTCATTAATATAACAATGGTACAAATTGAACATCCCTAATCTGAAAATCTGAAATCAGAAATGCTTCAACTCCGAAACTTTTTGAGTGCTAACATGACACCAAAAGTGGAAAATTCCACACCAGACCTCAAGTTGTAGGTCCAGACAAAACTTTGTTTAATGCATAAAATTATTAAAATTATTATATAAAATTACCTTTAGGCTATGTTTATAAGGTGTATATGAAACAATCAATTTTGTGTTTAGACTTGGGTCTCATCCCTAAGATATCTCATTATGTATATATAAATATTCCAAAATCCAAAAAAAAAAAAATCTGAAATCTGAAACACTTCTGGTTGGTCCCAAGCATTTTGGATAAAAGATACTCAACCTGTATTAAAAAATATTGAAATCTTTAGTCATGTAGAATTTATGCAATTAAAAGGTGCTGAAATTCAGTTAAGAATTTCAAAGTTAAAGTTTATATTTTAAATTTTTTTTTTTTTTTCAGACGGAGTCTTCCTCTGTCTCTCAGGCTGGAGTGCAGTGGCACGATCTTGGCTCACTGCAACCTCCGCCTCCCAGGTTCAAGCAGTTTTCCTGCCTCAGCCTCCTGCGTAGCTGGGATTACAGGCATGTGCCACCACGTCTGGCTAATTTTTGTATTTTTAGTAGAGACAGAGTTTCACCATGTTGGCCAGGCTGGTCTCAAACTCCTGACCTCAGGTGATCCGTCCACCTCGGCTTCCCAAAGTGCTGGGACTACAGGCCTGAGCCACCGTGCCCGGCCCTAAAACTGTATTTTTATTTTAAAATATGAATATCTATTATCACTAAGTAATAAAATTAAAGCTTGGAAATGAAAGGATCATACAATGCAAGAGTATCTAAAGTCATTTAAATAATGTCAAGAATAATGTTTTAATTATTCTGCTCTTAGAATTTTAAGCATTTTTAGTTTTAAAAATAAAAATGGAGTATTTTTGACAATATTTTGCTTAACATTCCCTAATTGCTGAGAAATCATCTGTTTCAGAAATTAGCCATTGACAGATAATGAGTTTGAGATTCCCTTTTGCCAGAAAAAATTGTAGTAACATACAATAATATGGAAATTGCCAGTATGTTTGGGTATTTATTAGATTGAGAACTATTTCAAACACATCTAGATCAATCTGTAAGCAAAGAATCCAAAACTTGTGAGTTTATTTCTTGTCGCCTGTCTGTTTAAGTCTGACAGTTTAGGCAAGGAGAATGTCTTATGAATTTGAGTATAATGAATTTGTGGAGGGGTTTTACTGAATGCATTTTCAGGATTATTTTGAAAATACATGAAGTAGACTGAACACGGTGGCTCACACCTGTAATTCCAGCACTTTGGGAGGCCGAAGCAGAAGGATTGCTTGAGTTCAGGAGTTCAGGACCAGCCTGGGCCACATAGTGAGACGGTGTCTCTATGAAAAACTAAAACTAAAACTAAAAATAAAATGCATGAAGTAAATGCAGAAAAAAAAAGAAACAGTTTCCATTCAAATTTCTACTTTTCAAATCTGAAACACATAACTGTTCACTCTCACTACATGATGTACTTGTTTTAAGGGGAAGAAAAATTCAAGATTTAAGAAGGCATTTATTTACGCTCTCAAAAATCTATAGGATACAGTCTTTGAAAATGAATACATTTATTAATTATTTTTGGGGTGCTTACAACATGTTTTTCTATGTTGGTCTTTTCTAAGTGGAGATTTTTCTATGTAGGCAGATAAATACCAGTATTAGGAAGAGATATATATTTATACTCATGGAGTACAAGTGCAGTTTTGTCACATGAATATACTGCATTGTGGTGAAGTCAGGCCTTCATTGCATCCATCAGTGGAGCAACACACTTCGTACCCACCAAGCAACCTGCCATCATCTATCACCCCATGCCTCCAAGTCTTCATTGTCCATCATTTCACACTCTGCTTCTTCTGTACAAATTATTTAGCTTCCACTTGTGAGAACATGTGGTATTTGTCTGTGTCTGAATTGTTTCACTTAAGATAATGGCCTCCGGTTCTATACATGTTGCTGAAAAAGACATGATCTCAATCTTTTTATGACTGAGTAGTATTCATTGTGTACACATAACACATTTTCTTTATTCGGTCCTCCACTGATGGACACTTAAGTCGATTCCATATGTTTGATATTGTGAACAGAGCTGTGATAAACATAAAAGGGCAGGTATCTTTTTGATATAATGATTTCATTTCCTTTGGGTGTATACCCAGCAGTGGGATTGCTGGATCAAAGGTTAGTCGTATTTTTAGTTCTCGAAGAAATCTCCATAGTTTTCCATACAGGTTGTACTAATTGATTTGCATTCCCGTCAACAATACAGAAGAGCTGGGTGCGGTGGCTCACACCTGTAATCCCAGCACTTTCGGAAGCCAAGATGGGTGGATCTCTTGAGCCCAGGAGTTCAAGACCAGCCTCAGCAACATGGTGAAACCTTGTCTCTACTAAAAATACAACAAATTAGCTGGGCATAGTGGCTTGTGCCTGTAATCCCAGCTACTTGGGAGGCCAAGGCAGGAGAATCGCTTGAGCCTGGGAGATTGACCTTGCAGTGAGCTGTGATGGTAGCACTGCACTCCAGCCTGGGCAACAGAGCGAGACTCTGTCTCAAAATAAAACAGAACAAAAAGTATATAAGCGTTCACTTTCCTCTGCATCCTTACCAACATCTGTTATTTTTTTGTCCTTTTTAAAAAAATTATTTTAAATTTTTGTGGGTACACAGTAAGTGTATATATTTATGGGGTACATGAGATGTTTTGATACAGGCATGCAGTGTATAATAATCACTTCATGGAAAATGGTGTATCCATCCCCTCAAGCATTTATCCTTTGTGTTACAAACAGTCCAATTATACTCTTAGTTATTTTTCAATGTAAAATTAAATTATTGACTATGCTTACCCTGTTGTGCTATCAAATACTAGGTCTTATTCATTCCTTCTATTTTTTTACGTATGTGCCCATTAACCATTCCTACCTCCCCCCCTCCCCCGCACAACCCCCTTCTGGGCCTCTGGTAACCATCTTTCTACTCTCTATCTCCATGAGTTCAACTGTTTAGATTGTACAAATAAGTGGGAACAGAGAAGATGCAGCGTTTGTCTTTCTGTGCCTGGCTTATTTCACTTAGCATAATGACCTCCAGTTCCATCCATGTTGTACATGTATTTTTTGTCCTTTAATAATAGCCATTCTGATTGGTATAAGATGATGTTTCACTGTGGTTTTAATTTGAATTTTTCTGATGACTAGTGATTTTGAACATTTTTTCATATGCTTCTTGGCTATTTGTTTGTCTTTTGAAAAATGTCTGTTCCTACCCTAAACCCACTTGTTAATGGGATGATTATTTGGCTTTTTTTTTTTTTTTTTTTTGAGACCGAGTTTTGCTCTTGTTGCCCAGGTTGGACTGCAATGGCACAATCTCGGCTCACTGCAACCTCTGCCTCCTGGGCGGATTCTCCTGCCTCAGCCTCCCAGATAGCTGGGATTACAGGCATGCGCCACCACACCCAGCTAATTTTTTGTATTTAGTAGAGATGGGGTTTCACCATGTTGGCCAGGCTGGCCTGGAACTCCTGACCTCAGGTGATCCACCCACCTCGGCCTGCCAAAGTGCTGGGATTACAGGCGTGAGCCACCATGCCTGGCCTTTTTGGCGTGCACGTGTGTGTGTGTGTGTGTGTGTGTGTGTGTGTGTGTGTCCTGCTCTGTCACCTGGGCTGCAGTGCAGTGGCTCAGTCACTGCTCACTGCAGCCTCAACTTCCCAGGCTCAAATGATCCTCGTACCTCAGCCTCTCAAGTATCTGGGAATACAGGCACACACCACCATACCCAGTTGATTTTTGTATTTTTTTGTAGAGATGGGGTTTCACCATGTTACCCAGGCATTTGAGGGTTTTTGGTTAAGTTGTTTGAGTTCCTTGTAAATTCTGGATGTTAGTTCCCTGCAGGCTGTATCATTTGCAAATATTTTCTCCCATTCCAAAGGCTGTCTGTTCACTCTGTTAATTATTTCTCTTGCTGTGCAGAAGCTTTTTAGTTTAGTCCCATTTGTCTATATTTGTTTTTGTTGCCTGTGCTTTGAGATCTTAGTCAAGAATTCTTTGCCTAGACCAGTATCTAGAAGAAGAGTTTTCTCTAGGTTTTCTTCTAGTATTTTCATAGTTTCAGGTCTTCCTTTTTTCTTTTTTTTTTTTTTTTTTACTTTTAATTGCATTTATTTTTTTGCTGAATTAATCCTGTGCCATAAGTTTTTGTTTCTTCAGTTTCTTTTGGGATATCTTTTTCTGTATCCAACCTCCTCTTCTGCTTTAGGAACAATTTGTTCCTTTTCAGTAAGGATCTTCTCAGTGTGGCAGGGAGAGCTCCTGTATGAACTCTGGAAGTCTGGTGGTGCATCTTGGATGCTTTGTTCACCTGGATATGTTTAATGACCAGAGAATCTACACCCAAATCCTTAAGTTCAGCATTACTCTGCTTTTTTTTTTCTTTGAGACAGAGTCTCAGTCTGTTGCTCAGGCTGGAGTGCAGTGGCATGATCTCAGCTCACTGCAACCTCCACCTCCCAGGTTCAAGCAATTCTCCTGCCTCAGCCTCCTGAGTAGCTGAGATTACAGGTGCCCACCAGGATGCCCAGCTAAGTTTTGTATTTTTAGTAGAAAAGGGGTTTTCTCAGGTTGGCCAGGCTGGTCTTGAATTCCTGACCTCAAGTGATCCACCCGCCTCGGCCTCCCAAAGTGCTGGGATTACAGGCGTGAGCCACCGCGCCCAGCCATTACTCTGCATTTTTAAGCATGTACAGTAAAAATTCAATAGTCTTTTTGGGCCACTGACTTTGTCTAGTTCCACTGTTTGGCCAGGGCACACCTGACAACTCTATCATTGTAATGTTTGAATTGTACATACTGTTTTTGTAAAGTGACATCTTTCTCCCATTCCACTAGGTGTAGCTTAAAAATAAAAAAGTGACATTTTTCAGATACTTAGTGGCTTTTTGTATATGCATACCTTTGATGGTCTGGGCAGTTTATGAAAGTGAACACAAAGATTTGAGCCTCTTGATTTGCATGATTTTTTCTGGGTTAAGCCAGATCACCTCAGGCTGCATAGAGGAAGAGGTTTTACTTCAGCTCTTAAATCCATTTCCAAGTAATTTTTGTACATGGTATCCAAAATTTTTGTACATAGGAGTCCAGTTTCACAGTCCAATTTTCCCAGCACCATTTATTGAAGATTATCCTTTCCTCAGTGTATGTTCTTGTTGACTTTGCCAAAAATCAGTTGGCTGTAAGTATGTGGCTTTCTGGGTTCTCTATTCTGTCCATTGATCAATGTGTCTGTTTTTAACAGCAGTACCATGCTGTTTTGATTACTATAGCCCTGTAGTGTAATTTGCAGTAAGGAAATGCTCCAGCTTTGTTCTTTTTGCTGCTATTGCTTTAGCTATTTGGATTCTTTTTTGGTTCCATATGAACTTTAGAATAGTTTTTTTCCAATTTTGTGAAAAATGATGTTGATATTTTAATAGGGATTGTGTTGAAGCTATAGATTGCTTTGGGCAGTATGGTCATTTTGATGGTATTAATTATAGTCTTAGGAAGATTCTTTAACAGGAAAAGAGCAGCTACTTAAAAATGTTTTAACAAACCATGCAAGGAAATTTGATGCATTTGCCAAGCCTTTTGTTTGGCACTCTTTTCTTCATTATTTCTTAACATCACAATATTTCTAGGAGTGACATATTTTGTTATCGGTGGTTTCTTTGTTTTGTGTTTTTTTTTTTTAGACAGTCTCTGACTAAGGAAGGAGTGAGGTATTATCTCCACTTTACAGATGAGGAAAACAGGCAAACCCTGCAAGGTCATAGAGCTGAAAAGTGGTCCAGGTAGAATTCAAACCCACATCTGTTCTATTCTTCATGCTTCATTCTGTCTGTAGTAATTGTCTTTTTCTGTTTCATCTTTGTACTGCTTTATCACATAGTTGTGGATAGACAGTTCGCCTCTTTGGTAGAACATCTGAAGCCTTTACTATGGGAACTGCTCAGTTTGGGAATGGCCTTTGTGATGTAGCTTCCAGGTAATTTCCGGAGTAGGGGGCTGCTGGGCAGGATCCCTTCTGCCTGGATATCATGTATATTTGTGTTTCTTACCTTATGGAGTGGGGGTTGGGGAAGAGTGGCTGGGAAACAGTGCATAACCCTGGCTCCAGAAGGCTGGCTAGGGTTTGTTTTCCTTCTTCATTCCTGCCAGCCCTGTTAGCTAGGGGCTGGGTTGTCTGTCCACCCTTACTGGTTCCAGTCACCTTGCACAGCTTCTTTCTCACTCTCTCTCTCTCTCTGCCCTATACTTCTGTTTGCCTTGTCTGCTCCTCTGATCAGACCATCCCTTTCCACCTTGAGCCAACCTGAATTCCTCCTCCAGCTGGTCTGTGTGCTCTTATATTGTATCCTGCTGGATACCAGCCTTATCAGACTCTGATGAGGATGTTAACATGCTTCTGTGAGCTTAAGCCAAAAAGGAGAGTACAAATCAGACCAGAAAAAGAGAGGTGATTGACTACAATAGAAGAGAAAGGTTTCAACAGTGGATGGATTCTGACAGCTAAAATTCCATCTTTTGAAGTGCTGGAATTTCCATCTTAACAACTTATTTCTTGGCAAACATCCTCTTCACAGTGATTACAGCTGTTCCATTCAGAATTATTTCAGTTCTTCAAAGCAAGGAGAGTCTGTTTAAAGAGTTGCTTACAAATTGTATTTTTATTGGTGATGGTCACTCCTGTATAGCACCCAAGGAGGAGACACTAACTGCATCCATTATGGCTTATGATGCCGTCTGTCAGATCATTTCTGCAGGTTAGGTACCAGTGTAAAGTTGGAAAGAGTAGTGCTGCAATTGACAACTGAGGTAGGACCTCAGGAGTCATCTGTACTCTGATGGGCTCATCAGCTTACTAATGACTATTCACATTCTGTTAGGGAAAAATTATTTATATAAAATGTTCATATTCATCATCAAAAAATGAAAAAAGGAGCTAAGCAAATATGATTTTAATGCCAGCATAGTATTACATTATGTGAATATACTGTAAGCATGGGGTCGTTTATCGATTTATAGTGGAAGATAGCCTTTCCAGGTTCTAAAATATTCATAGCTACTCCCTATGGCTCTCCATTTCTTGTAAAAGTACCAAGATAAGGATTCTTGATTGGAATGGAATCCAAATGCAGGTAACTGCCTAGTTTTGTGGATTATTTCAGAGGTAATGGAAACTAACAGACTGAATAACACTAGTATCTAGCTAGTGGGTCAAAGAGAATGCCCCTGTATGACAGATTTGGTATTTTTGCAATGAAATTACTATGTCAATTCCCTGGCTTTTATTTTTCTCAAGACCCCTCATCTTTTTTTTTTTTTTTTTTTTTGAGATGGAGTTTCGCTCTTGTTGCCCAGGCTGGAGTGCAATGGCGCAATCTCGGCTCACCACAACCTTCGCCTCCCAGGTTCAAGTGTTTCTCCTGCCTCAGCCTCCCGAGTAGCTGGGATTACAGACATTGCCACTATGCCTGGCTAATTTTGTATTTTTAGTAGAGATGGAGTTTCTCTATGTTGGTCAGGCTGGTCTTGAACTCCAGACCTCAGGTGATCCACCCGCCTCAGCCTCCCAAAGTGCTGGGATTACAGGCGTGAGCCACTGCGCCCGGCCTGCCCCTCTTCTTATATTATTAAAGTAACTTACTTTATATTCCTTTTGTTACTGTTTTTGTGATGGAAAACTAACTTTCTAATGCAGTGTTGCTCAAGCTTTAATGTGCATCCAAATTGCCTGGGGAATCCTGTTAAGTGTAGGTTCCTTTTTAGGAGGTCTGTATGTAGAAACACAGATTCTTATTCTTAGATAATGCTGACTGATGGTGCTGGTTATCATCACCCTTTGAATAGCTCATTGTCCTAAGAAATATAAGATAAGAAATATAATAAGAAATGTATTTCTTAGGATGGGTTATTCTATACAAAACTAACATTTTTCTTCTGAAAATCAGCATGAAATCAGAACATGAAATTTTCTGACCTTATTCTCAGATGCAGGAGCGCCATTGAAAAAAGATTGAACTAATGAAGTAATTGGATGATAAATATTATACATCTAATATCTCAAACGATTTTTTTTACCGTTAAAAATCATATGGTAAAGATAAGTTAAAAAAAAAAGCACTACAGTCTAATTTGTGTGAAAATCTCACTTCTATTTATTTGAGCTGATCTTGATGAAATATGCCACTACTAGCAACGTCAAATGAGGTTTGTTTTGTTTTGTTTTGCTTTTTAATGATGTGTCTTTGGCATATCCTGGAATCAGGAGTTTGATGTTTCTCACACAATTTTCTAAGAAATTATAAGTCAACATGTATTATGTTCCAGCCCACAGTTCCTTCCTGGTAGAGAGGTAGGCTATTAGCTTCTAACTGGTAGATTTAAGGATCTGTGGAAGTAAGCAAAGGGCCATTCCTTACGTGCTGAGGGACGGGAGAGGGGAATTGCATGGGGGCTAATCAACAAGTCAACAATCATTTTAGAAGATTTAGCACTGGCATAATTAATAACTTCTTGAGAAGGTAAAACCACAATTTAAAGATGAGTTATATTGAAGGATTGGTATGTTATAGGACTGTGATAACTAGAAAAAATGGCAGCATAGCCAACAAAACTCCCAGCCAAAGGATACTCAGTGATAAAAGAAGGAATTAACTAGAAGTTGAAGTCAGTAATTATGTTGTTTACCTGTTCAGTGTAAGTGAGGAAATGGCATGATCTACCTGAAGGAGGAAGGACCCATTTGATTATCCAGAGAGCAAGAGTTCATTCTTACTATTGGAGACTTCAACTTCCTGGTTATTCCATTAAGTCATTCATTTAACTGTTTTTTCAAAAATTCCTTAGGCAAACTAAATGAGTAGACTGATTACATTAAATGGCAGTAATTCCACACAGTTTAGACAGGGATAGATGAGATTGTCTGCAATGTTTATAAATTATTTTTAGAAAGGGAGTGAGATTAACCCTGTTGATTCCTGTTAAATAGGTAAGGCAAATTTCCTTTAATCCTTGGACGTTACTAAAAATTAGTAAGGGGTGGCCGGGTGCGGTGGCTTATGCCTGTAATCCCAGCACTTTAGGAGGCCAAGGCGGATGGATCATGAGGTCAGGAGATCGAGACCATCCTTGCTAACACGGTAAAACATTAGCCTGGTGTGGTGGCGGGCACCTGTAGTCCCAGCTACTTGGGAGGCTGAGGCAGGAGAATGGTGTGATCCCAGGAGGTGGAGCTTGCAGTGAGCCGAGATCACACCACTGCACTCCAGCCTGGGTGACACAGCGAGACTCCGTCTCAAAAAAAAAAAAAAAAAAAAAAGTTAGTAAGGGGTGGGATATCAAGGATGAAGTTCCTTGGACTGCAAAGATCCCAGAAACAAATGATATTTGGTAGAGCAGAGCTGAAGGTAGAAGATGAGTGTGGCAGCCAGACATCAGACCACTAATATGTCTTGGTGAGTATATATGTATATATTGTATTAGTATATATATAGTATTGTATTGTATTAGTATATATATATATATATATACTAATTGTATTGTGTTAGTGTATATATATATGGTATTGTATTGTATTAGTACATTGTATTAGTATATATACATATATACTGTATATATATACTAATACAATACTATATATATAAATACAATACAATACAATTAGTATATATATGCTAATACAATACAATATATATACTAATACTATATATATACACTATATATATATACTAATACAATACAATACAATATTAATGCTGTAGGATCAAATACTTCTGCATGATCTCAGTGATTCTCAAGGTTAGGATCGCCCCTCCCCAGTGGGTTTTTCTCCATCATCTGTAGTGCTGCCTTAGGTCTTCCACCCTCCTGGTCCCTAGATCTCCTGATACACCCCCTTTCTGAGTGTGTGGTCCCAGGGAACTACTGTTTCAGTTGCATTTTTCAGGTGCATTGTAGGTATCCTTCAGATGTATGGGGCCAAAGGTTAGAGTTACCTAGGCAGCTTTTATATACCAATGCTCCAGCCGGGCACGGTGGCTTATGCCTGTAATCCCAGCACTTTAGGAGGCCAAGGCAGGTGGATCACCTGAGGTTGGGAGTTTGAGACCAGCCTGACCAACATGGAGAAACCATGTCTCTACTAAAAATACAAAATTAGCTGGGTGTGGTGGCTCATGCCTGTAGTCCCAGCTACTTGGGAGGCTGAAGCAGGAGAATCACTTGAACCCGGGAGGCAGAGGTTGCGGTGAGCTGAGATCGTGCCATTGCACTCCAGCCTGGGCAACAAGAACGAAACTCCATCTCAAAAAAAACAAAAAAAACCAATTCAATACTTGAATCAGAACAACTACCACAGAGATAGTTTAGCCCCAGCTTGAGAAGTGTCATTTCTCAACAATCCCGTAAGCTGCCGTGATTGTGAGGCCTCCCCAGCCACGTGGAACTGTGAGTCCAGTGAACCTCTTTCTTTTGTAAATTGCCCAGTCTTGGGTATGTCTTTATCAGCAACATGAAAACGGACTAATACAGTAATAAAAGAATATGCACAATATTATTTAGATTTTGCTAAACTTTTAGGTATTTGAGGACCTTAATATTATATATATAATAATAATATATATTCATTTAAAAAATGACCCTTGGTTGCAATTAACAAATAGTCATTGAAGTCACTTGGGCAATAAGGACAAGCTTAATATCATTTAGACTTTGCTAAAACTTTGAGTATCTGTTGATAACTTTAAGAATTCATAAAAAGTATTATCTCTTGGTTACAATTGAGAAGTGCTTAGAATTGAAGGCAGAAAACCATTTTAAAAAATTAAAAAGAAGCATGGTGGCATGACGCTTGTAGTCCCAGCTACTCAGGAGGCTAAAACAGTGAGCTGTGATTGCACCACTGCACTTCAGCCTGGGCGACAGAGTAAGACCCCATCTCAAAATAATAATAATAATAATGATAACAAAAATACAATTTAATTAAAAAGAACTAGGGCCTGAGAGTCAACATCCATTCTTTTTTAGCAGAGCAGGGGATAGAAACTGCTAGGGATCTGACACTGAGCACAAAGTTTAGGAAGTAAGCAGCAGGAAGCACCAATCAATCATTGCAGTTGCAGAAATAAACCATGTCCACAGGCTTCCCCTAGCTTTATCATCTTGTGGAAAGAAAAGTAAAAGAAAAGAGACCCAACTTTTTCACCTACTGTGAAACACAAAGTCAAGTTTGGGGGCTTATATAGAAAAGTACTAGCCCTGCCTATCTCCAAAGTGGCATGGGCAGTAAAGGACTGTAAAGCCAGCGGCAACCTGAGAAGCATGTCAGCCAGTCCCAGCTAAGGCAGCCAGGGATTAGGGAAGTCATAGATAATCACCACATGGTAGGATCAGTAGGGAATACCAAACAGACCAGTGACACAGCCATCCGTCCCTGATGGTGCTTAATGACTAGTGTAAGGGGTAGGTTCTGTAAGGTGTCCTGCCAGGGAGGGGATTAGATAGGACAAGCGCACCTTAAACACTAGAGATTACAAAATAATTTACAACCAAGTGGGAAAATTTGAGATTCTTTGCTAGCAAGATCCAGTAATGGTAGACATTATTTCAGTTATGTTAGAGGGTGGTACCTGTCGAATGAGAGGTTGGCTGAAGTGGACTTGGGAAAGGGGAGGCAGGGGTAGGTTAAATGCCAGCAAAAAAAATCTTAGATAAACAAAGCTGACTTTTGCTTAAAAACTGTTAAAACACTGTTGATGAGAAGAGGAAGTCAGCTATATAGCAATTCTCTCCTTTGCTTCCAAAATACGTCTGAAAAAAGACAAAAAATGGAGATATATATTAGAGAAAAAGTCCAGGTCTAGCAGAACAAGAGGAATTTTTTGTGTGTGCATTGTTATTCTCTAAAATTATATATGTAAGCAAAAAGAAAAAATCTTTAACAGGGAAAACTACGATAGAAATAAAATAAACTTAAATAAGAGAAGGAAAGTTACTGAGGTCACTGTGATTATCTACAT
This sequence comes from Homo sapiens, assembly GCF_000001405.40. Lineage (NCBI taxonomy): Eukaryota > Metazoa > Chordata > Mammalia > Primates > Hominidae > Homo > Homo sapiens. Next base: position 110,139,368 of record NC_000004.12, on the reverse strand, counting down.
GTGTCTTTTTATCGCTGAAAAGTAAAATATTGACAGACTGGAGCCCCAAGGGGATGGAAATGTATCCAATTCTTACTCAAATAAAAATGTATTGAGCTCAGTTCCAGAGAACATTCTTGGATTTGATGTTTTTAGCTCCCTAAGTTAAAACAGCTGAAATTTCTTCTTATTAGGCTTTCATAGAAGAAAAACGTTTTCATTTTGTTGTTTATTTTTTAATTAAAAATATACATATACCCACAAACATGCTAATCCCCCATAATACCACTTTTTTCTTAAAATTAAAAAGAAATGAAAGTTGCCACAATCTTCAACCCTGCAAGATAAGAACTTTTAATATCCCTTTAAAACTTTTTTCTATACCAGAGACACATATCTATATCTATCCACTGATGTATCTATATCAATACCTAAAATTATATATAATAATTTTACTTCATGCAGATCTTCATTGAAAAGATAGAATACTGTGTCCTTGGCTTAGGTACTATGGGTGTAATGATATTTTTATATGTTTAATCTGTAATCATTTTTGGATTACCACACAGTTATTCAGGTTGTGGCTGATGGAAACCACAGGAGTCTGAGGACACACTTAAGAGCTGCGTGGGACTCACCCCTGCCCCCCACCCCACATCCACACATCTTATCACACAAGTGACCATTGCTCAGCTCCTTACATACACCAAACTCTAGTGTTCAGGCTTTCCAGTATGCACTTTCTTTTCCTTTGAATGTTCTTCCTTCTGCTCTTCTCAAGGCTGGCTATTTCTCATTTTTTGTGATCTCAATTTATTCCCATGTCTTTAGGGAGGCATTCTCATTCTCCATCTAAAAGAGCTCCCCTCCACCTGCTAACACCGTCTCTTTGATGCTCTAATTTTCCTTCAAAACACATCGTAGTGTGTTACTATTAATTTGTTGATTAGTGTGTATCTCTCTGCTTTTCAATGAAACAAGCTCTGTGAGGCTCATTTGTACCCATTTTGTTCAGTACTGTGTATCCAGTACCTAGCGTAGGATCTGGCAGATAAGAAATACCCAGTAGGATTTGTGGAATTAATGAGGTGTATAGAACTTTATTAGCACAAATCCACAGACATATATTACTAGCTTGCTTTACAACCACAAGGCCATGAAGAAAGAGGTTGCTATTTCAGTGGTGTTTATTAGACATATTTACAAGTTAAAAGTTAAAAGTGAATCCTTAGTGAAATAGTTAAATCAGTAATAAATTATAGAGCATGTTGTATTAGGTCACTGCTCTTTAGAAACCTAAGCAATAACGTGGAAGAACTGCTCTATGCATTTCTGTAATGACTTTAGCAGAAGCTGTGGGTGGAAGAAAGAATTGGACTCACTTTGAACCCAGAGTTCCTCTTTATTAGCCAGTTATAAGCAAGTCCTTTTTTGAGCCCCAGTTTTCTTGTCTGTAAAAGGCAATAAGTTTGTCTGAAGAATGATGTAGGTGCTACATGAGATACAGTTAAGCTCTGCCCTAATCATGTAAATGAATGTGCACAGTTCTGTTGTTTTGAAATTAAAGTGGGAGCCCATGAAGCTAGATGGCTGGAGTTCCGTAGCCAATTGTGTTATTTCTAAAAGTTTGTTATGGCCTCAGAGTGTGTTGTTGAGGAATTTATGTAATGTTAGTGACTTGTAAAGAGCCATCCACATTTATGGTCCTATCATTACTATTATTGTTATATGCTTAAAAAAATCCACATTCTATTAATAAATAAGATAAATCTGATAAGACTGAGCATTAGCTTTTTACCTTTTGAATTCAGATAGATTTAGTGGAAGCATAAACTTAACTGACATGGATAATAAGATCTATAGTAAAGTCAAAACAGCTTATCAAATCTTGAATGAAACTAATCTTGAAAAGGGGCTACTGAAAATGGCCCCTTCACCAGGCAGTAGGAAGTGAGTTTGTCCCATTTCTGATTGACTTTGACCTCTGCTTTCCAACTTTGCCCCAAAGAAAGTTAGTCACGACTTTGCCCCAAAGAAAGTAAGTCACGATGATGAACTTCTTAGGCGGAAGCAGCCATAAAGTGGAAGATCACTAAAGGCAACCAGCTAGTTACTTAAGTTTCCACTCAGCTGGGCTAGATTTAATCCAGGCTCAGAGTCAGAGAATCACGGAATTCTAATGCTGGAAGGAACTAAAATTTCCTTTTTTAACTACAAAGTCTGATTTAAAGCTTTCTAAGTTTCTAATTTAAAGTTTTCCAGGTTTCTAAGGAAACCAAAGAAACTAGTTTTATTATATTTCTTGACCTATTTGATATCAGATTATAAAATTTCTGAAGGTACCATTTTTCCTGCCAAGCTTTGATATATGTTTGGTAGTATTACCATGGCACCCTTGGCCTTCTAACCAACAAGGAAGAAAGAGAGTAATTCTGCATTTATATGAGTGTCACAGCTCTTTAACAGACAATCCCAGAAGACATCTAGATATTCCTGTGATAAAACTTTCTTTTTGGGCCTCTATTTCTCCACTTCCACCTTTCTCACTCTTCCCCTACTTCTGTGTTATAGGATATGGGTGGACATAGTATGGTTATTGATTAGATGCTAATTTTGTTAGTTTTGCCTGAAACAGCAGCTTTACAAATTAACATTTGAGGACCTGAAACACAAAGGTGATAGGAAACTCAGAAAACCATGGCTCACCTTGCACCAGTTATTTAGAATGTAAAATAATGTTCACTGTGATCATTGGGTGCAGCTGGTATAATCAGGGGCAGCTGGCAGATCCTACAGACTATTCTGAGTAAATAAAGAAAATCTTCATAGCCAATGGGAACACTACATCTCAAGTTGTTAGTTTGTAAGGAAGTGCTGATTGCTCCTAATATAGGTGATTGTATCTGTCAGTCAAGTGAACATGTAATCGGTCCTAGCTTTGGTTACAGGAGGACATATTTTCTTTATTACTACTTACACATTTCGAGTTTTAAATAAGGCGTTCAATATAGAGTGAACATTTTATTATAGACAAACCCATAGTTGTAGGAATTCTACTCAGAAGAACTATCAGCACAGCCTTTAAACACTTTATAATTGAGCTTAAATCTGAAGCTTGAAGTATTATGTTTATGTGCCTATTCCTAATGCTGGGTGTTTTCCGACTCAAGGGCAAACATTTGAGTCACTCATGATATGTCAAAAAGTGAAATAGGAATTTGAGAAAATTTGTCTAGAAATCTGAGACCAAAATAACACAAGAAATTTCAAACATCTAGAATCCTAACAAGTGCAGCTCAGTTTATGAACATGCAGTCTTTGTGATCAATGCTTTAAGAAGCCCATCATAAGATACCTTCAATATTAGCCCAGACTTAATTATTAACATCCTAATCACATATCCAAGTTAAGAAACAAAAATTCATTTTTCTACTAGACTCACACACACTCAACATCCAATGAATCTGAGGAAGTTCTTGAGATGTTAAGGAAGGTAGAGATCAGTTCCTTCCAAGCCTTACATTAAATTGTGATCAGTCTTCTCTCTTCTAGAATTTTTTATTTTGACCCTTTGTTCATCTTGAAGGATCTTCTCTGAACACCAAGTTGTCTGTGGTGCCTGGCACTGGATCAGACCATTGCTGATAATAGGAGGATTACTTCATTATTCCCCTAGGCAGCCTTAATTGTGGTCAGTTACTACAAGAGGAGACAGAAGGGAAAGAGAGACAGTGCTTGCTTGCAGTTCGTCTGCTGATTGGCTTCTTACCCACTAAGGTCTTTACCTGTCCCTTGAACTTACCTATTTAAACAATTTTAGTGTCTGACTTTTTTCCCTAGGCTACTACCCTGCTACCCTGTAAGTGTTCCTATTGAGCTTCATTTCATGTGTTTCTGACCTTTTCTCGTATTTGCCAACTAAATTATAATTTTTGCCTTCTAAGTTGCTGACTTTGGCTTTGAAGTCATACAGAAGCCAGTTTGAACTGAGACCTCACTCCATTTCTTACAAGTTATGCAAACTTACGCAAGTTATTTAACACAGTATGTGCTGCATTTCTTTATCTGCAAATGGGGGATGGTACACATACCTAGTGAAGTTAGTGTGAAGAGGAAAGGAGAAATCAGCATCAAGTTCTTAGTGCAGTTTCTGAAAAGTCTCAAGAAACACTGGACTCTGGTACAGGCTTACTAAATCACATTCATTAGGTACCTTCAGATTATTTTAAATGACTTCCTTGTTAGCCTTAAGGTGATTCTCTTATCGTCAACCAGTTATACATCCACATAATAAAGGAAGAATATCCTAGGTTCTATTTTATACGTCTGTTAGTGATATACATAAAAGGAAAGTACTCACATTTTTAGCCTGGAATATAAGGCCCTTCATAGTTCCTCTTCCACCTTATGTCCTACATCATCACTTTTTTTTCTGGAGACAGGGCCTTGTTCTGGTACACAGGCTGGAGTGCAGTGGTATGATCACAACTTACTGCAGCTTTGAACTCCTGGGCTCAATCTTCCCACCCCAGCCTCCTGAGTAGCTGAGACTACAAGCCTGCATAACCAGCCCAGCTAATTTTAAAATTTTTTGTAGAGATGAGGTCTTGCAATGTTGTCCAGGCTGGTCTCGAATTCCTGGCCTCAAGTGATCCTCCTACCTCAACTCCCAAAGTGCTGGGATTACAGACATGAGCTACCACACCCAGTTCACATCATCCCTTTTAAACACTGTAAACACATCTGCCAAATGTCTTCATTCTCTGCACAAACATTCTCTAACCTTTATTTCATGTTGTTCCTTCATTCTGTAATGTTTTATTTCCCGATCTCCACTTTTCTCTATCCTGCCACAATACATGTCCCCCCAGAGGCCTTGTGTTCTTACAGCCTGAAATGATCCCACTATCAGCTGACTTAGCATAATTTTTAAAAATCATTTTCTCATGACTGATCACATTCTTCCATGTGTCATAGTGACTCCTGAGGGTAAGAAGTGTTTTAATACTTCTATCCCTCCCAAACCATGCTTAAATTGGTGCCTGGCAACTTGTAGGGCTCAGTGATGGAGTATCGAAGGAAGGACCATATCCTGGGGATCAGAAACAGACATCAATTATGCAGTCAAATATGTTCTCTCGTCACTTCAAGCATTTATGTTCATATATTTCTACTCCACTAATAGAGGTCTTCCCTGAGCACCACACCTAATGAAGCCTTGTCATTCCTGGGCCATTTGCTTTGTTTTATTTTTGTACACAACACTATAACATTGTAATGTATCCTCAGAGTTATTTGTTAATTTCTGTCTCCTGCTAGAATGTAGGCTTCATGAGCACAAGTTCACCTTTTTAATGCCGGTAAGCCTTATAAGTATTTGTTGAACGAATGAATGGATACATGAAATAATCACAGGATCTACTGCGTTAAAGCGTTATGGATATTATTATTCTACTTTTCTAAACGTATGTAAACAGGCTTCTGGTAATTGTCATTTTGGATGTTTAGATGTTACATTTTTAGAGAAGCTTTAAGTAATAGACATTTAATCAGTGCCTGCCTAAGTAACTATGAGGTGAGTTGTTTCTATAAATGTTAGTCAGGTCTTAGAAATACTCTAGTTTAATTTGGTGAATTTAACTTTTTCTTTCATATCTTAATTTTCTTCTTTGGACACCCAGAGAGATTATATTGGGAAATAATGACTTCCTTTTAGCCTAGGACTTTGCTCTCCAAACAGACTTGGGACTTAAATGAAGGGTTAAGCAAGATGAGAAGGTGCATGCCTTTTCTTCCCTTTTTCCCTGTCCTCTCAGGCTCCCTTGACACCTGTGACAACCCCGCCTCCGCAAGCCTCATCTTCCCAAAGCCTGTCACCTTACCTCTT